>NC_000005.10:177265780-177416226 GCF_000001405.40 Homo sapiens
AAGCCGGTCCCTCCGGTCCTCTTGTGGCAGTGCGTAAACTCGATGTTGAAGTAGGCCACCTGGGTGTGCACGTAGTCATTCTGCTTCACTTGCAGGCAGAACGGGGAGGTGAAGGTCAGGTCTTCCACCTTGACGGTGTAGATGTCTACCTCCTTTATGAGGCAGGCGTTGGTAACCAGCTGTTTGAGGTCCACCACATCCACTAGGGTTTCCTTGATGGCCACATCTTTGATGCAAGATATATCGAAGCCATAAACGTTCTCCCACCAGTGGATCTTGTAGTCTTTGTACTGCCGGTCCTCGGTGGCCGTCACATACAGTGTGGCCCGTTCTGGGAAGATGAGGCTATTGGGCGCCAGCCACTTGTCCGGGCATAGAGCACAGTGTTGAGCATGGACTCGTAGAAGAGGCAGTTAGCCCATCCACTTGCTGATGATGATGTTCACCTTTTCCACCGGGAGCTCTATCTCCTCCACCTTCCCCTTGGTGATGGTCACCAAGTGGTCTAACTTGTTGGCTTTGACAATCTTCACCGCATAATCAGAGCTACTGGAACACTCGATGCCGATGACCTTGCGGGCCCGGCCTTGGCGGCGAACATGCAGAGGATGCTTGTGTCCGAGCCCACATCCAGCACCACCTTGTCTTTAAAGAGGTGGCGGTTGTGAAACATGGAGTTGCCGAAGTGGGCGTAGGAGTCAAAGTAGTAATCTTTGGACGTCATGCCCTCGACGTTCGGCTTCTCGCTGCTTTCCGCCTGGCCACAGGACACCTCCATGATGCAGTTCACGACCTCGGCGGCCGCCATCTTCACCCGCACCTACTCCTCTTCCGGCCGCCAAGACCCCCGCCTTTTTCTATAGTAGGATTTTAAGAGGTGAAAGAAGCACAGTGAGAACAAGATTAACTCGGATATATTCTTTGCTAAGGCTTTACTCCCCACTTCAGGGTAAAACTTGGAATTACATGTTTGAGTCTAGCATGTTTGAATCATGCTCATTTCTGGCAAGAGCGTGGCTCATTTCTTTTTGGCAACAAAATAAAATGCCTGCCCGTCTGCTGAAACTACTGTGTTTTGAAAGCATTTATATATTTATTTATTTGAGGCAAGAGCCTTGCTGTCACCCTGGCTGGAGTGCAGTGGTGCTGTCTTGGCTCACTGCAACTTCCGCCTCCCAGGTTCAAGCAATTCTCCTGTCTTAGCCTCCCGAGTAGCTGGGAATACAGGCATGTGCCACCACGCGTGGCTAATTTTTTAGTAGATAGGGGGTTTCGCCCTGTTGGCCGGGCTGTTCTCTAACTCCTGACCTCAGGTGATCCACCTGCTGCAGCCTTCCAAAGTGCTGGGATTACAGGCCTGAGGCACTGTGCCCAGCCGAAAAGTTAGTAGTTCTAAAAGGAGGGAAGGAACTAACCATATGGAGATACTACTTATGTGTCAGACGCTACTAGGTAATTTATTAGCTAGGTGAATCTTCAAACAGATGTGGTTATTGTTTATTAGAGAAAACTCCTTACCGCTGAGGAAATTATAGCTCAGCAAGGAAAGTGAATTTCCCAAGGGCCTGTGGTCCTAGAGCTAGAATTCCAACCTGAACCTGACGAGAGTTAAATAAAGCTTATGCTGTTTATACTCTGGTCATTATGTGTCACTGATAATGTTTTTATTTAGTATATCTTTTAGTGAAGAGAAAGAAAATATATATATATATGTGTATGGATGTACACATACATGACTTGCAGTCTTGTGATCTGAATGCCACATTTTTTTATTCCCACAGGAGGCAGCCTTCTGTGCTGTGATTCTTGCCCTGCTGCTTTTCATCGTGAATGCCTGAACATTGATATCCCTGAAGGAAACTGGTATTGCAATGACTGTAAAGCAGGCAAAAAGCCACACTACAGGGAGATTGTCTGGGTAAAAGTTGGACGATACAGGTAAGCCTGAAGAATAGCACTCATCTCTTTTACCATCCTCTGTTTCTTGAGACCTCTCAGATACAATGCTTAACGTATTTCTAATGATCTACTTAATTACTCATGGTACTCCTCCCCTCTTCTTCTTGATTTTTTTCCTTATAGGAAGAGAAACCTAACTTTATGATTTACAATTATAGGAATAATACATGTTCTCTGTCGAAATTTTTTTTTCTTTTGTGTATTTTGTGAAAAGTTTTTTTTTTTTTTTTTAAATGAAAAGACAGTAATAATCTCACAAGGCAGGCGCATTGTTAACATTTCGGCATATGTACTCCCAGACGTACCAATACGCAGTTATGCCCCCCACCATCCAAAATAACTGTTTTTACAGATTATACTCTGTTATGTGTCTTGGGTTGTTTGTTTTGAGACAGGGTATCCTCTGTCACCCAGTCTGGAGTGCAGTGGTGTGATCATTGCTCACTGCAACTTCAAACTCCTGGGCTTAAGGGATCCTGCCGCCTCAGCCTCCTGAGTAGCTGAGACTACAGGTACATGCCACTGCACCCGGCCACTTTTTCTTTTTTAAAATATTTTGATTGAACATCACACACCGGGAACTGTTGTGGGGTGGGGGGTGGGGGGAGGGATAGCATTAGGAGATATACCTAATGCTAAATGACGAGTTAATGGGTGCAGCACACCAACATGGCACATGTATACATATGTAACAAACCACGTTGTGCACATGTACCCTAAAACTTAAAGTATAATAATAATAAAATTAAAAAATATATTTTGATTGAATATGGAAAGCACAAAGGATGTAACATGCATGACTTTAAAGAATGACAAAAGTGGCACCTGTGTATGTACCTCCCACTTAAAGAAATAGAACACTGTTGGTACTTTTGAGGTTTATTCCATGCCCTGATTCCATTCTCTCCTACCCCCAGAGGTAACCACTGTACTCAATTCTAGGTTTTTCATTCCTTCGCCCTTCTGTGAGAGTTTGTTTTCTTTGCTGTGTTTTAGACCTTTATGTAAAGGAATTATTGTTGATACATTTTCCTGCAACTTTTTTCATTCACTTTTATGCCCCTGAGATTCATCATAGTATTGTATAGTGGTTCATTCATAGTTCACTGTTCCTTTATGTAGTCACATAATGTCTAGTTCACTTATCCATTTTCCTGTTTGGACTGTGAACATTTGGTCAGTTTTTCTTGGTTTATATACTTGGGACCTTGAATATAAGTATATACTTATATACAAGTATATATTTGGTTTATATACTTAGGGCCTTCTCTAGGGCATTCTCTGGAGTAAAGTAGGTAGATAGAGGTTTCCAGCTTTAATAGGTAGTGCCAAATTGTCTCCCTAAAGTGGCTGTATAGTAATTTACATTCTTTGATTTTGTTTGTATGTGTTTGTGTTTTGATTTCTTGGTGCTGTTCTCCCATATTCCTACTAATTATTGAAGGTTTCCTTTTTAAAGACCAAATTGTATTTTATTTTGTATAGTGTACCATGGATAATACTATTATTTTCTTGATGTTGAGCATTTATACTTTTTCCAGTTTTTCCTTCTTATAATGCTTCAGTGAATGTTATTGTCATAACTCTCTGTTCCTATATCATTATTTCCTTTAAGTAGAATCCTTGAAGTAGAATAATTGAGTCTAAGGGAGTGCGCGCCTGTGTGGGAATGTGGGCAGATGTTTTCCAGCTTCTAGCACATACGACTTGTTTGTGTTCTAGTTAGGTTGTAAGAATGCCGTAAGATGGACTTTAATGTGGACAGACAGACATTGCTAATCCTTACTTTTATATGAGTAGGTTATTTTCCTAATGCCTTGCAGCCTTCTAGAGGTTTTCCTTCTCCTTTTCACCTTTCCCAGGTGGTGGCCAGCTGAGATCTGCCATCCTCGAGCTGTTCCTTCCAACATTGATAAGATGAGACATGATGTGGGAGAGTTCCCAGTCCTCTTTTTTGGATCTAATGACTATTTGTGGACTCACCAGGCCCGAGTCTTCCCTTACATGGAGGGTGACGTGAGCAGCAAGGATAAGATGGGCAAAGGAGTGGATGGGACATATAAAAAAGGTAACTTTATCCTTTTTGTTTCTCAGGCAAACACAGACCTCTGTTACCTGAGTGTCTGATCTGTTTTAGAATTCACATATGCTCCATTTTGAAACTGCCTTTGTCCTCTCAGGGCATTATCTGGCTGCAAATACAGTATTTTGCAAGGAAGTTGACCCATGTAACTCATTATTTTTGAGCCTTAACCTTTACTTAATTTGAATTTCCTTGAGCTTTTTTTTGACTTATCAGTTGTTTTGTCAGCATTCCATCAAATAATGGAGTTCTGAAACTATTTCATAGAAGAAACACTTCAGTTTGCTAGACAGAGGCTCAGATCTCTAGCAGAGCTACATTTGCTCCAAGGAGTCTTGTCTTGTCTTGTCTTGTCTTGTCTTGTCTTGAGCTCGTTGGGAAGAAGTAAAATTCACCAGATATTGTAGAACAAACTAGTAAAGGTCAAAGCATAAATGCTCTGAATCAAAATAAAGTTTTGTAAACTGGCCTAGCAATGAAGGCAGGGTGCCCTGTTATAAGCAGAACTAGTTTTACTGCTTACCAGGTGGTCCAATCAACTTCGAACCCGGTTTTCTCTTACCATGTAATGGAGAAAGTTTGCTCTTAGAATACAGTGGGATTATAAAAAGTGTCCCTGCAGAGTACATAATTGGTATCCCCTTAGTGGTAATTACCTTCTTCCTCTAGCTGTCCTTTGAAAGATAATATATCCCTTGCTATTTAATTTATTTGGTACTTAAAGTACAAATGGTTCCCAACTCAGAATGGTCCAACTTACAGCTTTATGATGATGCACTTCCATTATGTTCCTCAGCTTATGATGGGATTACATCCAGGTAAACCAATTGTTAACATGAGGAGCATCTGTGTAAGACTTTGTCTATAGGGTGAGATGAAAAGGGATTCTAAGCAAGTGACATGGAAGAAGATTCTAAGCAGGTAAAACTTCCTGGTTAGGGAATGGGAGTAATGTCGATAGGGAACAAGTTTAACAAAGGTTCTGTTTGCCACATGTTATTTTAGTAGCTCCTCACTTACCCTGTTTGTCTTGTGGTTTCTGTACATAGATATGGGCTGTCTATCAGTTCTACTGCTAATACAAAAATACATAGTACTGTGCTGTTAGTACTAATACTTCAGGAGCTGGGGTCTTGAGTCTTGTAATCTCAGGTGGTCAGGGATAAAGTCGCCAGTATTTTGGCCTGCACAGAGCTGGCCACCACTGAGACTGGGGGAGAAGGCGGAGTATAAGGAATACCGCAGGTCTGAGCCTGCCTAAGCTCTGAGATTCTGCCTTAATCAGGGGGTTTCTAGGTGCCTCTGACTTCTTCGAGCTTGTATTTTTGCAGGAGAATCTGAAATAGATACCAGCAGTCGAAATACCTGCCGGGATTTTGGTATTATTAATATTGTGGCAGAAGTGTGTATTGTATATGCTGTGGGAACAGAGCAAGAAGAAGCTGGGGAGCAATGTTTGGAAGTCATGAATGATTACTAAGTGACTTTGAGGAATGAATCATAATAATAATAGTTAGCATTTTTGTTTGCCAGACCCTGTTCTGTGTTTATTTTCTGCTTTAAGTGCTTATGATAACCCTATGAGGTGGATACCATCCTGATCTTGCAGATGAGGAAACTGAGGCACATTAATGTTAAAGTACTCGCCTAACATATCAGTACCAGTAAGTGATAGAGGAATGTTTCTGACTCTTATAGTAGGGCCAGAATCTAACCTCTACACTGACTTTGAAGAAGGAAAAGGACTTAAAATGTGATACATTTTACCAAGAAGGCATCACATGTGAAAGCACGTGTTGAATCTATTAATAAAATCCTGAGTTAGCAACCTCCAAGTATTTGGTACAGTTTAAGCACATGGTTGGGGGAGTGTTGGGCTATTTTCCTGAAAGGATGAAGATCTAACTAGATCCCTAGTTAGAGCAGAGTTTTAGAAACTTTAGCCTGGGACATTGTTGGGACCATTAAAAGGTGAGAGGCTGCAAGTGGGAAAATCAGTGAGATGGCTGTTTTAAGTAGTTTGGGGCAGAAATGACGAGACTCTGCTGGACACAGTGGCTAAAGCCTGTAATCCCAGCACTATGGGGTCAGGAGTTTGAGACCAGCCTAGCCAACACATTGAAACCCTGTCTCTACTAAAAATAAAAAAAAATTAGCTGGGCATGGTGATGTGCGCCTGTAATCCCAGCTACTCGGGAGGCTGAGGGAGGAAAATCGCTGGAACCCGGGAGGCAGAGGCTAATGCCACTGCACTCCAGCCTGGGTGACAGAGCAAGCGAGACTCTGTGTGTCCACCCACCCCTCCCCGCCCGCCCCACCACCATCACCACCAAAAAAGAAAGAAAGAAAGAATGAGACTAATGGTGAATTGTTCATGGGGATGGAGAATATGATTTATATTGGATAGATGTTAAGGAGGTAGACTAGGACATGCTGAATAATGTTCTAGTCTACCTCCTTAGAAGAACACATTTTAGGAAAATTTAGATGATTCTCCTGGAAAGAACACATTTTAGGACAATTTAGATGACTCCATGGAACACATACAAACTCTGGTAGATGGCTACAAGGAAATGAAGAAAAAAGGATAGGTCAGAGGGGAGAATTTCTTTAAAGGATTGACAGACTTGGGGAAAGGCACAGAGAAAGTGGGAAGAATGGGATTCTCAGAGTTTTTAATGTGGGTGAAGAATAAGGAATTACAGTTTTAAGTGCAGAATGAGAATCTTAAGATTTTGTTGGACTTTTCAGATACTGCAATCTTTTAAACATGAGAAAGTACAGGGGCCGGGCACAGTGACTCATGCATGTAATCCTAACACTTTGGAAGGCTGAGGCAAACAGATACCTTGACCTTAGGAGTTTAAGGCCAGACTGGGCAACATGGCAAAACCTTGTCTGTACAAAAAAATTAGCCTGGCATGGTGGTGCATGCCTGTAGTCACAGCTACTTGGGAGGCTGAGGTGGGAGGATCACTTGAGCCCATAAGGTCGAGGCTGCAGTGAGCTGTGATTGCTCCATTGCACTCCAACCAGAGTGTTAGAGTGAGACCCTGTCTCAAAAAAAATAAAGTACGGTACTTGAGTGTAGATTAGCTATGAAGATCTGTGTATCATTAGAGCTAATAGTTTATATTTACACAACAAGTCTTAGGATAAGAGGCAAGAAGGAGAACAAAGCTTCAACTTTGACTTTCTGCCAGAGGAGAGTGAGCACAATATCTGGGGCACCTAAGATGTAGCATGTTTCCGAAAGTGGGAGGTTTAGGACTGAGGCAAGAAAGGCTTAAAGGCAGTGACTTTGCTAAGCAGATGAAGCGTAGTTGTTAGGAGATGGCATCTGTGGGCTTTCTAAAGTCATTTAGTTGTTTATTGTTTTCTCATCTAACGCACAGTTGTCTAATCTTTTGGCTTCCCTGGGCCACACTGGAAGAAGAATTGTCTTGGACCAAACATAAAATACACTAACAGTAACAATAACTGATGAGCTAAAAAAAAAAAAAAAAAAAAAGTCCATGCATAATTTTTATGATATCCGCCACCACAGATAAGCAAAAAAGTTCTCGTATTCAGATGGATGGATGCCAGTGATCTAAAGGGTGATAGTCTGTATTGTGCCATTTAGTTCTGGATTATGTTTTGTCTTAATACTATGTCTGAATACCCTTTGGACTACATTACCTGTTTGAAAATAGCTGTTATGTGTTTTCTTTTTCATATAGCATTGGTCGATTTTTGTGTAAAACATGGAGTTTCTCCAACTTAAAGGGGAAAAAGTAAAAAATAAGTGAATAAATAAGTAATTCCACCCAGAGATTTTGAAGTGACTTGTGCTGTCTGTTTTCATAGCTCTTCAGGAAGCTGCAGCAAGGTTTGAGGAATTAAAGGCCCAAAAAGAGCTAAGACAGCTGCAGGAAGACCGAAAGAATGACAAGAAGCCACCACCTTATAAACATATAAAGGTGAGGAGAAAATCTTGGGGGACCTTCTCTAGAAGAGAAATGGAATAGCTGGCTCTTCCCACTCTGTTCATGACAAGAACGGAAGCACAAGCATAGTTCGTTTTAGGTAGAGGTATGAGCTTAAAAGAAGATCAGAAATAGCCGGGCACGGTGGCTCACGCTTGTAATCCCAGCACTTTGGGAGGCCGAGGCGGGCGGATCACCTGAAGTCAGGAGTTTGAGACCAGCCTGGCCAGGCAGGTGCCTGTAATTCCAGCTACTTGGGAGGCTGAGGCTGGAGAATTGCTTGAACCCGGGAGGCAGAGGTTGCAGTGAGCCGAGATCGTGCCACTACACTCAAGCCTGGGCGACAGAGTAAGACTCCGTCTCCAAAAAAAAGAAGAAAAAAAGAAACAAGTACCAGAACACCATTCCTAGCGCATTGCCAGGATTCCCAGTGTCAGGAGAATTGATTTTAGGTGGACCTAACCTTTAACCTACCTAGTGAAATAGTCATCACCATTATCATCTGGGTCCAGTGGAGCCTTTGTATTTTAAACATTTTTATGTCATTTATATGAATAATTGACAGACATAAAAATAAAGAGACAGTGGAGAACAAATGTATTAGAAATTTTAGTGTTATGTTGTTGCTAAAATAATTGCAGTTTTATCATTACTTTTAATGGCAAACCTCAATTACTTTTGCACCAACCTAATATTTACTAAATCCTTTTTACAAACCTCTTTTTATCAGATAAGTTAGTTGCGATGCTCAAATATCATAAAACATGAAAGAATATTGTTAGGCCTGTTGAGAAAAGGAGATTACCCAGGTTGTTCTTGTAAAACATCTTTGATGGCATTGTTCCTGGATGAGAATACCCTATTTCTTTTTTGTTCTTAGAAATGCATTATTTGTTCACTTATCCTTTGTGTGTGTGTGTGTGTGTGTGTGTGTGTGTTGTTTTTTTGTTTGTTTGTTTTTGAGATGGAGTCTCCCCCTGTCTCCTAGGCTGGAGTGCAGTGGTGCAATCTTGGCTCACTGCAACATCCATCTCCCAGGTTCAAGCAAGTCTTCTGCCGCAGCCTCCCGAGTAGCTGGGATTACAGGCGCACACCACTATATGCGGCTAATTTTTGTATTTTTAGTAGAGACGGGGTTTCGCCGTGTTGGCCAGGCTGGTCTCGAACTCCTGACCTCAAGTGATTCACCCGCCACAGCCTCCCAAAGTGCTGGGATTACAGGCATGAGCCACCACGCCCGGCTGTGTGTTTCCAAAGACTGATAATCTGAGATGCTACTTGGAGACTAATTTGACCACCATCTTGAGAATCTAGTATGTTTAAGTTTGTCTCAAATATTGGATCGAGCATAGTTAAACTGAAAAACTTTCGTTGTTTGTCAGAAATTCAGATTGAACTAGATGACTTGGATTTTTATTTGCTAAATCTGATAACCCTACCGAAATCAGACCTTCAAGATCGTGTCTCCAGTGTTTTATACTTGCTTTTTTATTTTTAAACTCCTTTCCTCAGGTGTAGTAGACGGTCTTTTATACTTTTTTTAAACGACAATGCAGTACTTTGGGTAATGCCGTAAGAAATCTAAAGTGTGACAGTTTCAGTATTTCATCGTGCTTATATGTGATTCCATTGTGCTTCCCTTGTCTTTTTTTTTTTTTTTTTTTTTTTTTTGAGATGGAGTCGCCCAGGATGGAGTGCAGTGGCACGATCTTGGCTCACTGCAAGCTCTGCCTCCCGGGTTCAAGCCATTCTCCTGCCTCAGCCTCCCGAGTAGCTGGGACTACAGGCGCCCGCCACCACACCGGGCTAATTTTTTGTATTTTTAGTAGAGATGGGGTTTCACCATGTTAGCCAGGATGGTCTCGATCTCCTGACCTCGTGATCGGCCTGCCTTAGCCTCCCAAAGTGCTGGGATTACAGGCGTGAGCCACTGCGCCCGGCCTCCCTTTTCTTATTATTTCTGTCTTCTTTAGCATAGTTGTGAATTATTGATGAGTTAGTAATAATGTGTAATGATGAATTAGTAAGTTGTTACAAGATAGAGGAAAAGTAAGAACACTAAAATTCCATACCGTGTCTTAGATTTAGTCTGATGGACTTACATGGTATTTACAAGACAGAATCAGTTTTGTTCTTTGTTTGTTCCTTTGAGACAGGGTCTCCCTCTGTGACCCAGGCTAGAGTGCATTGCTGCAATTTTGGCTCACTGCAACCTCCGCTTCGTGGGCGCAAGTGATTCTCCTGCCTCCTGCCTCAGTCTCCTAAGTAGCTGGGATTACAGACATGAGCCACCAACGCCTGGCTAATTTTGGTATTTTTTGTAGAGTTGGGGTTTCACCATGTTGCCCAGGCTGGTCCTGAACTCCTCAGCTCAAAGCAATCCACCCACCTCAACCTCCCAAAGAACTGGGATTACAGGCGTGAGCTACGACACTTGGCCTGAATTTTATTCTTTTAAATAAGTATATTTTCTTTTTGAACTTTGGAAGACCTCTAAAAAGGGATAAAAGTCATAAACACTGCTTCTGAAGTCTTTTTTTTTTTTTCCCCCTGAGACAGAGTCTCACTCTGTTGCCCAGGCTGGGGTGCAGTGGCGTGGTCTCAGCTCACTGCAACCTCCATCTCCTGGATTCAGCCCACTCTCCTGCCTCAGCCTCCTGAGTAGCTGGGACTACAGGCATTGTGCCACCACACCTGGCTAATTTTTGTGTTTTTAGTAGAGATGGGGTTTCACCATGTTAGCCAGGCTGGTCTTGAACTCCTGACCTCAGGTGATCTGCCCGCCTCGGTCTCCCAAAGTTGAGCCTCCCACGGTGAGCCACTGTGCCAGGCCCAGTTTTTTTTGCTTTTTTCTCCCCCCCTTTATTAGAGATGATGATTTCACTATGTTGCCTAGGCCGATCTCCTGGCCTCAGGTTGTCTTCCCACGTTGGCCTCCCAAATTACTGGGATTATAGGCATGAGCTGCCACTCCTGGCCTTTAAATTGTTACTTTAAATGTCATAAAATATCCATACCAAGATTAGATTAAAAAAAGAACAAAACGAAAAAAGTCATAAACTGTTAATCCTTACAAATGATTACAACTTCTGAAATTAAGAATTTCAAAACCTATAATTGGATCTAAATGAGTCTCACAATGTATGTGAAAATATATTCTTGGAACATAGTCGTTAGGCCTCAGAAATGGAAAATAATTCTATTCACATAGTCCTGAGGGTCAGATAACAGCAAGGTAGGCATTTTAGAGTTAACATATTAACCATATTGAGCTACTGAGAGAGCAGTTTCCTGTGAGTGATCTCATCAAGAACTTAGAGGCCAACTTCTTTACTCCATTTTTTTTTTTTTTTTTAATAAACATTTCCAGGAAAAGGATCTAGAGCAGGCATTGGCAAACTATGGTTCATGGGCAAATGTGGTCTACTGCCTATTCTTGTAATACTCTTGAACTACAGGTTGTTTTTGTATTTTTTAGTGATTGGCAAAAAAGAGATTTTGTGACACATAAAGATGATATGAAATTCAACTTTCAATCAGTATCCAGAAAATTTTATTGGAATACAGGCATGCTTCTTCATTTACATATTACATATGGCTGCTTTTATATTACAGTGGCAGAGTCGAGCTACATGTGGAGATCTATGGCCTGCAAAGCCTGAAGTGTTTACTTTCTGACCCTTTACAGAAAAAGTTACTTAACTCCTGATCTATAGTGAGATTTACTTAGAATTACATATCCATGTCTTTGTTCTTAACCATGTGGGATTTGTTTTGGTTTGCTTTTGGTTTACGATGTGATAAGTACAAAACTTATTTTTGGATTAATAACAGGTTAGATCAGTTGATAAGAAACAATGATTAAAACATATATTTTCCAGCCTGGGCAACATAGCAAAACCCAGTCTCTACAAAAAATACAAAGAAAAAAAAAAATTTGGGGTGCCTGTTGTCCCAGCTACCTGAATCACCTGAGCCTGGAAAGTCAACGCTGCAGTGAGCTGTGATTGCACTACTGCACTCCAGTCTGGGGGACAGAGTAAGACCCTGTCTCAAAACAAAAACAAATATATATTTGTAGAGAGAAAAGAAGTAGCATGAACCTTTATGTGTATTTGGGAAGGGTTCAAGTAAAAATATTTCGAATCAGAAGTGAATGTTCAAATGCCCTATTCAGGACTTGTAGTCTTGGGTGACTGAGATTAGCTGTTGTTGTCTGTCCCCTTAGAATTTGCCTTAGACATTGTAAGCCTTATGCCTTATGGCTTCCAGTTGCATGTGTTGGGGATATTTCTCCATTAGCAAGAAGTTTCCAAACCTTACCAGTGTTTTGATGAATCTAGGAACAGATCTGGCAGTGAGACCTACATCCATTTTCCCCACGGACAGCATCTTGCTGGAGTGTCTTGCAGGTCTATACGATCCTCCCACTGCAGCTTCCTGAGTAGCTGGAACCTCAAGCACTTGCCACCATGCCCGGCTAAGCTTTATAATTTTTTTGTAGACATAGGGTTTCATTGTGTTGCCTGGTCTGGTCTTGAACTTCTGGGCTCAAACAATCCTCCAGTCTCAGCCTCCGAAAGTGCTGGGATTACAGATGTGAGCCACTGCACCTGGCCTCCTCCTGTTAAATGTTGATAGAAAAATGGTTTGATGGCAGCATATATCCAGATTGTAGATTTCATAATATTAAAGGGGAGTGGGCAAATAATAAAATGCAAGAAATGAAAGCATTTGAAAATTTAGAGGACAGAAATGACTTTTAAGTAAGTGATTTTAGGTGTACTGGAATGAGTAATCTAGAATATTTGATATGAGAGAAACAATCATAAGGGCATTATATAAGAAAGGAAGAAAGAATTTAATATGTCTACCATGTTTAAGAGGCAGCTAGGTGCTGTACTATACATATATTTCTTATTCTTACAATAGTCTTGCAAGTAATTTATTCAAAATCACACAGTTCCTGAACAGTCAAAATTTTTTGTGCGGTTTGTGTCTTAGAAGACTAAATTTGACTGTTCCCACTGAAATAATATGAAATGAGGGGAGATACATTCTCATGCACAAATCCATTATTGTACTGGAACATCTATTGTCTTTCCTTATTGTTGCTAGTATTTGTTAAAACCTCTACATTAATGGCTTTGGTGTCACAATAACTGTTTGACCTTCATGTTTTAACTCACCAAACTTTCACTGTGTTTTTGAGCACTAGCACCACTTCTAAATTAATCCATGAGTGACATTGCTATAGTCCTTTTAAAAGATTTTAAATTATAAGCTGGGTGTGGTGATACCTGCCTGTAGTCCCAACTACTTGTGAGGCTGATGCAGGAAGCATAGAGGAACTCAAATTACACACAGATGATTTCATGCCATTTATTTGCCACTTAAGAACAGTGCTTTTGCCAGGTGTGGTGGCTCACACCTATAATCCCAGCACTTTCAGAGACCGAGGCGGGCAGATCACCTGAGGTCAGGAGATCACAAGGTCAGGAGATCGAGACCAGCCTGGCCAACATAGTGAAACTCCATCTTTCCTAAAAATACAAAAATTAGCCGGGCTTGGTGGTGTGTGCCTATAGTCCCAGCTACCTGGGAGGCTGAGGCAGTAGAATGGCTAGAACCCAGGAGGCAGAGGTTGCAGTCAGCCAAGATCCCGCCACTGCACTGCAGCCTGGGCAACAGAGCTAGACTCCCTCTCAAAAAAAGGAAGGAAGAATAATGCCTATTTTTTTGTAGCAGCAAATGTGACACCAACATGTGGCAATAGCAGAAACCTAGTTTATAGTTCACCTGGCTTATCAGCTTTGAAAATTTTTTTTTTTTTTTTTTTTTTTTTTTTGAGACGGAGTCTCGCCCTGTCACCCAGGCTGGAGTGCAGTCACGCGATCTCTGCAAGCTCCGCTGCCTCCCAGTTTCACACCATTCTCCTGCCTCAGCCTCCTGAGTAGCTGGGACTACAGGTGCCCGCCACCACGCCTGGCTAATTTTTTTGTATTTTGAGTAGAGACGGGGTTTCACCGTGTTAGCCAGGATGGTCTTGATTTCCTGACCTCGTGATCCACCTGCCTCGGCCTCCCAAAGTGCTGGGATTACAGGTGTGAGCCACCAGGCGCGGCTGAAATTATTTTTTAAAATGAATTTCAAAAAAATTTTTAAAGTTCATATTTTATTTTATTTTATTTTATTTTATTTTATTTTATTTTATTTTATTTTATTTTTTGTGACCGAGAGACCGAGTCTCACTCTGTTGCCCAGGCTGGAGTGCAGTGGCACGACCTAGGCTCACTGCAAGCTCAGCCTCCCAAGTAGCTGGGACTACAGGCGCCCACCACCACACCTGTCTAATTTTTTGTATTTTTAGTAGAGACGGGGTTTCACCGTGTTAGCCAGGATGGTCTCAATCTCCTGACCTCGTAATCCACCTGCCTCGGCCTCCCAAAGTGCTGGGATTACAGGCGTGAGCCACCGTACCTGGCTCGTATTTTATTTTTTTGAGATGGAATCTCAACATATCGGCCAGGCTGGAGTGCAGTGGTGAAATCTTGTCTCACTGCAACCTCCGCCTCCTGGGTTCAAGCAATTCTTGTGGAGTTCATATTTTGTATGTCAAGTGAGGCTCTGTTTTTATATGAAACTAAGTGTTGATAGTTCAAAATCATGGGAAATGTGGCTGCAACTTCAAGGAAAAAAAGTTTGCCTTTTTCAGGACGTGAATTGTCTTCTGCTGACTTGTTTTATGCGGTGTACTTTGTGTTACTTTTCCAGGTAAACCGTCCTATTGGCAGGGTACAGATCTTCACTGCAGACTTATCTGAAATACCCCGTTGCAACTGTAAAGCTACTGATGAGAACCCCTGTGGGATAGACTCTGAATGCATCAACCGCATGCTGCTCTATGAGTGCCACCCCACAGTGTGTCCTGCCGGAGGGCGCTGTCAAAACCAGTGCTTTTCCAAGCGCCAATATCCAGAGGTTGAAATTTTCCGCACATTACAGCGGGGTTGGGGTCTACGGACAAAAACAGATATTAAAAAGGTTAGAAAAAGCTAAATTACCATATACTTTCTCCTCTTTGCAGTTGCTTGATATCATTGATCCTTGACATTAGAAAATTCATCATAGAAGAAAATAACACAGTTAATAATTAACCTTATTGTTGTGTCTTGCCATATCCTTCTACCGTTTAGAGGCTTACGAATGGATGGTTTTGATCTCCCAAGTCCTTTGTATTGATCATGGTCACTGTGTAGGAGGTTGGAAAAAATGGGACATTCATAGAGATGCTATGGCTTTGTTTGCTTTTTTGTGAATATCCTACAGCTGGTAATTAAGAGAGATGACAGTGAGCACATGATACAGAGACATTGATCCACCTACTAATAAAACATTTTTAGTGAGGAAAAAACAGGTCTGGCTTCATGAAACATGAAGGATAAGAAGGTTAAGCCTTATTGGATGAAAATGCAGTCATGTCTTCAACTTAAAACTTGGCAGGATCTCTAAGTTTCTAATAAATAAATAATATTGTATAGTCTTTTTTTTTTTTTTAATAAAATAAGCCTTATTCTGGTTACATTTTCTGAAGAATTTTATTGGTTTCCAGGAAATGTAGTGTATATGGGTTGGCGTTTAGTCATTTGCTAAGTAGTTATTTTTATATTTACTGTATGTGCCAGGTATTGTGCTGGGGATGCACTAACCAAGACGAGAGATATGGCCTATACTTTCATAAAATTTACATTTCGGAGGGAGAGAAATATTGAACAAATCATCTCCCAGTGTGAAAGTATAAAGGGCTCTAGAGATGTGTGACAAAGGAACTGAAACTAGTTTGTCTCTGATGATATTATATTTTATTTTATTTATTTTTTGAGAGAGGGTCTCACTCTGTCGCCCAAACTGGAGCGCACTGGTGCCATCTCCGCTCACTGCAACCTTCAACTTCCAGGCTCAAGTGATCCTCCCATCTCAGCCTCCTGAGTAGCAGGGACTACAGGCTCGCATCACCACGCCTGGCTAATTTTTGTATTTTTTGTGGAGGTGAGGTCTAACCATGTTGCCCAGGCTGGACTTAAACTCCTGGGCTCAAATTATCCTCCCAGAGTGTTGGGTTTACAGGCATGAGCCATCACTCTTGACTTGTGAGGCTATTTTAAATTGAGACTTGAAATATAAGTAGCTGTTGACCCAGGCAAGGTGCATTAAAGCCCTGCAGGTTAGGAGTGAACACGTGTGAAAAGCCAGAGTGACTGTAGCATAATGAATAGGGAGGATGGTACTTTGAAATATAGAGCAGAGCAAGCACCAAGGAAGATGAACATAGTTTATTTGGGGAAGCCAATTCTCGGGCTCTGGGGCAGGTAGAGATTGGCCATCCATCTCTCTTTATAAGGACGCTCTAGTTTACTTACTAATCTTCCATTCTGGAGGATCTTTAGTATCCAGTGTATCCTAATCTTTCTGCTGCTGACAGTGGTAGGAGTAAGGAGGTGTTTCTCATTATCAAATAGTTGGGGATCGTAAAGTAATTATGTGTGCCTAAAATTATACTCATGTAATCTGCTTTGTAGAATGTGATGTTTTCATTAATTTTTTAAAAAAATGTATACATTTGGATACCAGTGTCCTTTTTTGCCATTAAGTCAGGAGGTATTTCTTGTTCTAGGGTGAATTTGTGAATGAGTATGTGGGTGAGCTTATAGATGAAGAAGAATGCAGAGCTCGAATTCGCTATGCTCAAGAACATGATATCACTAATTTCTATATGCTCACCCTAGACAAAGTAAGTAATGGGAAATGCTGTTTTCACTGTTACAAGATTGTAAATTTGTGTTGTCCCAGCCATAGTATTTGTAGGCATGTAACGCAGTTCCCAAGGTAGGGTCTTTTCCCATACCCATTGGGATTGCTGGATTGGGGTTCTGGAGTAGGTAAGAGTGCTCATTTTCTGGGTATTCATGGCCAGAGGCAATACAGCAGCTTTTAGCATTGTTTTTGAACAATTCAATGAAAATTGGAGCTTATATCTTTGAGTATTTTTTCTACAGGATTACAAGTTTGAACTCAGAAAAGTACATAATTCTTTTTTATTTTATTTTACAGTTGAGAAAATTGTTAAATATTTAATTATTTTACTGATAAGATTATGTAAATTTTTTTTTAAAATTATTTTGAGACAGAGTCTCGTTCTGTCACCCAGGCTGGAGTACAGTGGCATGATCTCGGCTTGCTGCAACCTCTGCCTCCTGGGTTCAAGCGATTCTTCTGCCTCAGCCTCCCAAGTAGCTGGGACTACAGGCATCCGCCACCACGCCCGGCTAATTTTTGTATTTTTAGTAGAGACAAAGTTTCACCATGTTGGCCAGGCTGGTCTCAAACTCCTGACCTCAGGTGATCTGCCTGCCTCGGACTCCCAAAGTGCTGGGATTACAGGCATGAGCCACCGCACCTGGCCTTAGTTTTTATAATAAAACCCTTTCTTGGTATTTACCTTTGTAAACATTTCTCAAATTGTGCACTAGGATTTGTGAGATCTTCACTTCCAGATATTCTGATCTTACTTTGGGATTGGGACTCCGCATTAGTATTTAAATCTCCTTAGGTGATTTCTAATGTGCATCTGGGTTGAAACTACCTAAATAGAAAGTGGGACAAGCTGCTATTTGTAGGGCAGTGGTCCTCAAACTTCAATGTAGTCAGAAACCCCTGGCAGCCTTGTTATATATAACGCAGAATGCTGCACCCCACAGTCTCTGCTTTAGTGTATTTGAAGCACAACCCAGGAATTTGCATGTCTAACAAATTGCCAAATGGTGATGGTGCTGGTCCAGGGATCACACTTTGAGAACCAAAGTTCTTTGGGATCTTTTCTCTGAGAGGTTCAGTCTTTACAAATAGAAACTCCAACTTATTAGAGAGAATAGTCAAATTTTAATCCACAGCAGAGGTCTCAGGAAGTCTGATGTGTAGCTTCTTTTGGAATTCTAGGACCGAATCATTGATGCTGGTCCCAAAGGAAACTATGCTCGGTTCATGAATCATTGCTGCCAGCCCAACTGTGAAACACAGAAGTGGTCTGTGAATGGAGATACCCGTGTAGGCCTTTTTGCACTAAGTGACATTAAAGCAGGTAAGAATCATTTCAGGATTCTGCAGCTGACATCTGAATTTCAGGGCTTTTGTTTTTTACAAACAGCTTCCTCAGATTATAATTTTAAACATTTCTATATGTACCGTTCTCTGGAATTAAGTTCATTTACATTTTTGTGCAACCATCACCACCATCCGTCTCCAGAACTCTTTTCATCTTCCCCTGCTAAAACTCTATACCTACTAAACACTAAGTCCCCATTCTTCTTTTTCTTCACAGCCCCTGGCAACTACCATTCTACTTTCTGTCTCTGAATTTGACTACTATATGTACTTCATATAAATGGACAATATTTGTCCTTTTCTGACCACCTCATTTCATTCATTCATTGATTCATTTTTAATGTTTAGGGACAGAGCATTGCTCTGTTGCCCAGGCTGCACTACAGTGGCACCATCACAGTTCACTGCAGCCTCAAACTGGGCTCAAGCAATCCTGCTGCCTCAGCCTCCTGAGTAGCTAGGGCTATAGGCACATGTCCCCATTCCCAGGTTTTTTGTTTTTTGTTTTTTTTTTGTAGAGACGGAGTCTTGCCGCTATGTTGCCAAGGCTGGTCTGGAACTCCTGGGCTCAAGTGATCCTCCTGCCTCAGCCTCCCAAGTGCTGGGATTACAGGCATGAGCCACCTCGCTTAGCTTGGCTCATTTCTTTTAGCACAGTGTCTTCGGAACATGGATGGTTTTAATGGAACAAATTTTCACATTCATATGAACTTACCACTAATAGGTTTGCTTTAGAAACTACTAGCTCTTCAGTCTCCTTTCTCACCTTCCTGAAGTTGCTCTTCTTCCACTTTATAAACCAAAGATTGATCTCTCACTCTTCCATATCTTATGGGTTATGGACCCAAGGCTATTTTAAAAATAAACCACTGGGTGTGGTGGTATATGCCTGTAGTCTCGGTTATTCAGGAGGCTGAGGCCAGAAATCGCTTGAGTTCAGGAGTTTGAGAAGCAGCCTGGGTAGTATCGTGAGAACTCTGACTCTTAAAAACACACACACAAAACAACAAAAACCTCTCAACCTCTAGGATGTCAAAGAACAGGATCTTTGGAGAATTCACTGCTCTGTCATGGCTCACCTGGGTGCTTGTCTCTCTAACGGGGTAGCGAGATGGTTGTAACCAGGACAAATAGTAAGAAGCTAATTTGAATCGAAAGTAAATCTGGTATGGCTGAGTGGTTTGACAGTAAAGTTATGTGGTAGATATTTTCCATAAATTAAAGGATCTTAATCTATAGCTTCAAGGTTTTGATACAATTATTTTAAACATATATACCTATGCATGTAACACCCTCCAAATTGCATGCTTTTTTAAGTATTAAAATTTGTGGCTGGGCGCGATGGTTCACGCCTGTAATCCCAGCACTTTGGGAGGCCAACACGGGCAGATCACGAGGTCAGGAGATCGAGACCATCCTGGCTAACATGGTGAAACCCCATCTCTACTGAAAATACAAAAAAATTAGCCGGACGTGGTGGCAGGCGCCTGTAGTCTCAGCTACTCTGGAGGCTGAGGCAGGAGAATGGCGTGAACCCAGGAGGCAGAGCTTGTAGTGAGCCGAGATCGTGCCACTGCACTCTAGCCCGGGCAACAGAGGGAGATTCCATCTCAAAAAAAAAAAAAAAAAAAAAAAATTTGTATAAACGTTGTACATTTTGAAATGTACAAGAAAGTTATGATTTTTCAAATGTAGTTTTGCAAGGATATGAGCAAAACAGTTAAAATCAGCCTCTTATACTCAAACTGGGATAGAACTGGCCTAGGTAGTCTGTAATATACAGTAATATAGTCTAATTACTGTTGAAGCAGAATCCCATTTGAATGTTCTGGAAGACCTTAGTTCTCCTTTGCTCAGTCACTGTTGTCCTCAGGAAGCATTGATCAAGATAAAAGAATTAGAATGATATTTGTTCAGATCTTAGTCTGTTTTTGTGTGTGTTTGTTTGCTTGCTTGTTTGTTGAAACGGAGTCTCGCTCTGTTGCCCAGGCTGGAGTGCAGTGGCATGATCTCGGCTCACTGCAACCTCCACCTCGCGGGTTCAAGCAATTCTCCTGCCTCAGCCTCCTAAGCAGCTGGGATTACAGGCATCCACCACCATGCCCGGCTATTTTTTGGTATTTTTAGTAGAGACTCCTGACCTCAAGTGATCCGCCTACCTCGGCCTCCCAAAGTGCTAGAATTACAGGCATGAGCCACCGCGCCCGGCCTGTGTTTTAAATTTAATCTATGGGACTTCTCACACTCAGTGTACTTTTTTCTCTACAATTTAAATGTGTTGTCCAGGAGTCTTTCAGACTTTTTAGGTTGTGACAATTTTTAGATTTTAAAATTTGAGCCACTAGTTACTTTCGGGTTTTGCGTTTGTTTCTCATAATGTTTTACATGATGACACCAAGGACACTTGAGCATCACTGTGCACTGCACTCTGCTTATTTGAGACTGGTTTTTAGTTGCAGATTTATTTCAAGTTTTTGGAATGGGTGGTTTCAGAGTATATTGTTTAGATTTCTACTTTGTAACAGGAGTAATTCAATAAATGATACGGAATACCAGATACGATTCTAAGCATAT
The DNA here is from genome assembly GCF_000001405.40 of Homo sapiens. Taxonomy (NCBI): domain Eukaryota; kingdom Metazoa; phylum Chordata; class Mammalia; order Primates; family Hominidae; genus Homo; species Homo sapiens. The sequence continues at coordinate 177,286,526 of NC_000005.10, forward strand.
TATCTCATTTAAGCCTTGCAAAAGTGCTGTAAAGTAGATGATATTATACCTATGTTACTTTTATCCTTGGATGTCACACCTCTCTCATTCTTTTCTCCCTTTTTCTCTCTAATCGCCCCAGGGGTGGAGAGGTTCCTCTATATTAAATCAATATAAATATAGTTCCTCTATAATAAATCAGTCACATGATTTAGTTCTACTATGTCTGCTGAGTGCTGATAGTCCCATTCTTCTACTTAGAACCTGCAGTTCATGTCCATGGGGATGCCCTCCTCTGCCATGTCTAGCCACAAATTTCTCTTCTTTTTTTCCTGTGTTCATCAGCTCAGGTAGCTTGGTGTTGAAATTCTCAGACTCTTCCTCTCCTCACTTGACTTTCAGTCTGCATAGGTTCAGGATGGGGAAAATGAGACAGGATGTGCTAAGGGACAGGCAGAGTGCCTATCAGAGCTGAGGCCTTCATTCAACTTCCTGGGCCCTTCACATACCTGCAACTTACTGTCTCCCAAGTGTCCCATCCCTACTCTTGTTTATCTCTTCTCTCATGCTCTTTGCCATGCCCAGTAACTGAAGATCCATCAATGATTGCTGCATATTGAACTCTTTTCTAGAATGGTATCACTGTTTAGTTTATGAGCACTGATACTTTCTGATTTAATTTAGCCTCTCTGTGATTACACTTACATAGTATATGTTCAGTGAGCAGCAAGTTATGACAAGTATCCTGCTTTCTTTTATTTGTGTATAAGGTACAGTTGTATTATAAGCACATCGTATCTATAAAATTTTAGTTATCTATCCATAAATCTTTTATTAAGAAAAAGACAGTGTGGGGCTGGGCGCAGTGGCTCACGCCTATAATCCCAACACTTTGGGAGGCCAAGGTGGGAGGATCACTTCAGGAGTTTGAGACCAGCATGGCTAACATGGTGAAACACCGTCTCTACTAAAAATACAAAAACTAGCTGGGCGTGGTGGCAGGCGCCTGTAATCCCAGCTACTCAGGAGGCTGAAGCAGGAGAATAGCTTGAACCCAGGAGGCGGAGGCTGCAGTGAGCCGGGATCTCACCACCTTACTCCAGCCTGGGCAACAGAGTGAGACTCCGTCTCAAAGAAAGAAAAAGAAAAAAGAAAAAAAAACAGTGTGAATAGAACCACGAAAGATTCAATCCAGTTAAGTTCAGGCATGAGATGGGAAACATGACCCTCCCGTTAACATTGGTGAGTCTCACTCAGTTCCTGCAAGCTCCTTATGGCATGAGCCTCATCAGGCCGTGGATAATTCTGCTACTCCTACAGCATGACCCTAACGTAGCTGCTGGTATTGTGAACATACTTGATAAAGAAATAGTGATAAGAATGATTTCCTTTAACATTCGATGAAAAACTATGTATAGCAGTCTCACTGATAAAAGGTATGTCAGTCTGCAAAGGGAAATCTTCCTAAGAATTGACAGTTTTTAATATGAATGATGGTTACCTTATACATTAACTGTAAACATTACCCCTGTGATAGGCAACCTCTTCACATATTTATGTAAAATTCTTATATTTGGTAGGCCTCCCATAACTGGCTTTTAGTTATGAGTTTTGAGTTTGAATGTTTATTTCCTCTCACAGTTTTGGTGAAATGGACCTTTGACAGAAAGAGAGAAAGAGGACAGTTTGCCTGTTAATTTGAGTACCTTTTTTTAAAGTTTACACGTTACTGCTATGTGCATTTTGTCATATTGTCTCAATAAGCTTGTCAGATTTCTCCATTTTAAAATGGGCTGCTCAGGATTCAGATTACCCTGCTAAGTCTGTGACGTAGCTGGATCTACAACCAGTCTGTAATCTACAGATTTCTAGTGTTATTCTGTACTGAGATGCCTCTCCAGAGTGCTGCCAGGTAACATGTGTTCACCTGAGAACAGACAAACAGGTTTTCCTCATACTTGTATTCCCAGGGCCTGACACATTGATAAGTTGTTTTTTGTTTGTTTTGGTAATGAATTAACATATTTTGAATCTGAATGGTTAATAAACAAATGAAAAACAACTTGAGGTAATTAACACCTCTGGAGGAAGAGTTATCTTAAATATTACTTGTTAAGCCATTTAAGTTTTCTCTGTTAAATTGTATTACCTGATTATTAATGTTATAAGATTAGAATTAATTAAAATATAGGATTAGAGCTAAATTCTTTTTAAAATTAATCTGTTCTCTTGGGAGTTGGTATCCTTTGTAATTAATACAGAAATAATGTAATTAAAACCATAGATATTAATATTTTCACGGTCTCTTATGCAGGCACTGAACTTACCTTCAACTACAACCTAGAATGTCTTGGGAATGGAAAGACTGTTTGCAAATGTGGAGCCCCGAACTGCAGTGGCTTCTTGGGTGTAAGGCCAAAGGTACCACCCTTCTAGACTTCTGCTTTGGGATTAGTGGTGCGGTCCTCCCTCCCTAACAGTGTTAGGGCAGTCTACATTTTAAGAAGAAATCTCTTTGAAATTAATGACATTCAGCCAGGCATGGTGGCTCATGCCTGTAATCCCAGCACTTTGGGAGGCTGAGGTGGGCGGATCACCTGAGGTCAGGAGTTCGAGACCAGCCTGGCCAACATGATGAAACCCCATCTCTAATAAGAATAGAAAAATTAGCTGGGCCGTGGTGGCATGTGCTTGTAGTCCCAGCTACTCAGGAGGCTGAGGCAGGAGAATCCCTTGAACCCAGGAGGCAGAGATTGCAGTGAGCTGAGATCACACCACTGCACTCTAGCCTGGGCAACACAGCAAGACTCCTTCTCAAAAAAAAAAAGAAAAATTCAATGACATTGAATAGGTGTTGATAGGGCCACTTGCAATTCACTAAGCATTCGGCTGATCAATTATATAAGAGGTTTTTGGGGATATTGTTGAAGTGTTTTGGGCCATCTGACTTTAATTGGTGCTACTTTTCTAACTAATAATGCTGTGAAATAGGACCTTATAAAGAAGGTTAGTTACCTCCCTCGTCTTGATCTCACATCTCCTAATAAGCCATATAGATTCTTGGTATATCTGTGTCTGTCCCTGTCTTTCTCTCACTTTCTCTTTCTGAAGATACCAAAAAATCTGCAGTTTAAGCTTCTAAATGTAGCATAACATCATAGATAAAAGTAGAACTCTTAATCTCACCATTATAAAAAAGTATAAGCATTGTTGTGTCTTCCTGTTTTTTTAGTATGCACTTTCTGAATAATTGAATTCTAATTCTGTAACTGTTAAGTATCATTTCCATGTCTATATTCTCCTTATTTTTTTTGTTGTTGTTGTTTTGTGTTTTTTTTTTTGAGGTGGAGTCTCGCTCTGTTGCCCAGGCTGGAGTGCAGTGGCGCAATCTCGGCTCACTGCAAGCTCCGTCTCCCGGGTTCACGCCATTCTCCTGCCTCAGCCTCCTGAGTAGCTGGAACTACAGGCGCCCGCCACCATGCCCGGCTAATTTTTTATATTTTTAGTAGAAACAGGGTTTCACTGTTGTTAGCCAGGTTGGTCTCGATCTCCTGACCTCGTGATCCGCCCGCCTTAGCCTCCCAAAGTGCTGGGATTACAGGCGTGAGCCACTGTGCCCGGCCCTTATATTATTATTTTTTAAAGTCCTTGCTGATCATTTTTAGTGACTGTCTTAATTTTTTTATATAATGGATGGACATACTAGATGAACATCTGGATAATTCAAGATTTCTGTATCATAAGTAACAGCACAGTGAAAATTGCAGTTTAATTTTGATACAAAATAAACTATATAGTGACTTCAATTGAGTATGTTCCATATGCCTTTTTGATTGTGAAGCTCAACATTAAGAACTGAAAAATGCAAATTAACATAGAAGCCAATAAGAAAAGAGTAAATAAATTTTTTTTTTTTTTTTTGAGACGGAGTCTCGCTCTGTTGCCCAGGCTGAAGTGCAATGGTATGATCTCGGCTCACTGTAACCTCCGTCTCCCAGGTTCAAGTGATTCTCCTGCCTCAGCCTCCCAGGTAGCTGGGATTACAGGCCCCTGCCACCACACCTGGCTAATTTTTTGTATTTTTAGTGGAGATGGGGTTTCCCCATGTTGGCCAGGCTGGTCTCAAACTCCTGACCTCAGGTGATCCACCTGCCTCAGCCTCCCAAAGTGCTGGGATTACAGGCGTGAGCCACTGCGCCTGGCCAGAAATGAAGAGCACTCAATGATCATTTTTTAATCTTGTTAAATAAGGAGAATCACCTCTATATTATACTGGATTTTATTGTGCTTTTTGTTTAGTTTTGTTGGTTTAACGGTGTTGTTCCTTAAGATGTTGACTTGTTTCCTATAAATTAAAATAGTAACTCAGTTTAACCTGTACTTAATGGTATTAAGTGTAGTGCGGATGTCAGTTTCAGCATCCTTGATGTCTGCATGGGATAGCATTTCACAGGAGTCAGTCAGAGGTAGATGCTAGAGAGGTCACTGTGTGCTCTTAGTAGATACTGGTCTGTCAGAATAGGGTGGACCTCCATTAAGCCTTACAGATTGGTCCTGGATGTTTCTGGGTTAAAATGAAGAATGTGATAAGATGATTTGGTGACCAAGTGTGGGCTGCAGGGAACAAAGAGAGAACATCTGCTGGCTGCTCCAGGGTCTGCCTTGGGAGTGGTGGACCTGAAGCTAATTTGACTTGATGTGTAGTCTTATTGACGGCAGGGACCATGAATTAACTTTTTTGTGTCTTAACACATTGCTTATAGTAAGTTCAGTTATGCTTTGTTGAATGAACGAGAAATAGGCATGTGTACCCACACACAGAAGTCTAGTTTAGTTCTGAAAGTAGACGAATATAAAAGTGAAACTTTGGCCAGGTGCGGTGGCTCACGCCTGTAATCCTAGCACTTTAGGAGGCCAAAGCGGGTGGGTCACAAGGTCAGGAGTTCGAGACCAGCTTAACCAATATGCTGAAAACCCGTCTCTACTAAAAATACAAAAATTAGCCAGGAGTGGTGGTGGGCGCCTGTAATCCCAGCTACTCAGGAGGCTGAGGCAGGAGAATTGCTTGAACCCAGCAGGCGGAGGTTGCAGTGAGCCGAGATCGCGCCACTGCACTCCAGCCTGGGCAACACAGCAAGACTCCGTCTTGAAAAATAAATAAATTAATTAACTAATAAAACTTATGAAAGGCATGTCATTTAACACCAGCCTTATGGATCAGCAAAAACACAAAGATTTTTGTCTTCTGTTTTGTTCAGGTGGCAGGAGTAGTTGATACAAAAATTATTGCTACGTATCTGTGATGTACCAGGTACCTTTCCTGCATTTTATCTTCATGACAATCTCTTTTCCCAGAGAAGAGAATGAGGCTCAGAGAGGGTAGTTAACCCGGTTAAGATTGGTACTAATGTGTTCACAGAATGCTGACTGTTCAATATCTGACCTGTAGAATCAACCCATTGCCACGGAAGAAAAGTCAAAGAAATTCAAGAAGAAGCAACAGGGAAAGCGCAGGACCCAGGGTGAAATCACAAAGGAGCGAGAAGATGAGTGTTTTAGTTGTGGGGATGCTGGCCAGCTCGTCTCCTGCAAGAAACCAGGCTGCCCAAAAGTTTACCACGCAGACTGTCTCAATCTGACCAAGCGACCAGCAGGTTGGTGCCAAAATCCATTTGTACCGCTACTCGTTCTCTCCATCATACTCAGGGTCTCATGCCATTTGCATCAGCCTTGAAGAAAGTGCCATTTGGTCTTTCCATGCATAATTTTGAGGGGTATGGTCTATTTTCTTATTTTGGAAATAATGAAAGCAAAGGCTTAGAATTCTTAGTTATGAAGAATGGGACAGCGGTGCACTTGCTGTGTTTCAGGTCCTTTACTTACAGTCATGTTTATTTCATTCCCCCAGCAGCCCATAATGGTTGGTTTTCTTCCATAATGCATGTGAAGAAACAGAGTGAGGATTGGGGAGGTGATCTTTCACACATAGATAGAGGAGCTGGATTGAGAGCTGGGTTTTTGACTCCAAGACTATTAAATCATGTTGCCTTTCTAGAGAAAGAAAGATTGAGATAGTAAAGCCTTTAGGTGGTTCTAGTCAGTGAGAGATGGATTGCCACCCTTTTAGCACTTCCTACCTTGCTCCCCTACGCCTAGTGCAGTCTCCCCCCATGCAGAGTAGACTTTTTTCCTCTAAAGGAGATTTGGTTGTATCAGTTAATACATGAGAAAGCTGCTCAGGTGGATGTGGTACCCAGGAAATTTGTAGTTGAAGAAATTGAGAACCTTTGAGTAGTGATTTGGGGTTAGAGAATTTTAGGGATTTGGATATGCCATCTATTTTAATGAACAAAAAAGAGAAACCAGTAGGGAGCCATTCCAGGGTGAGGAGATTATACATTACTAGTGACCTGCTTCCAAGAGTTGCAGAACGTTAAGAACTTTAGGGTATAAGTAAAAGGAATTTGTCCCCAAATTGGCTTTCCTTCACTGTATATTGGCCAGGGTCATGAAATAAAAGAAACTGAGGTAGGATGAGGGCAAGGCCATCACATTGACCTGTCAGCACCAGGAAGTAGAATTGTTTCAGAATCAACTGCTCAGGGTCGTCACTGGCGCAGGCTATGATAGAACCAATCTTGCCTGTGTGCCAGGAGTGGGAGCTGGTGTAGTTGATTTGAAGGTGGAAACACTGTCCCTGGTCAAGACCCTCAGGTTTCATGAAATGTGGGGAGGCAGGTAAAAGCTTAGGTCAGCTTTGGGTCTTTTCTACTGATTCCATGTGAACAACATATAACGTGCTGTGCTGATCTCAAGACTTAAAATAGAGCAAAGGTAAATCTTCCATTTTTCATGATTTTATATCTTTTCTATTACTGTTAATAGCAAATAAGCAGGAATCTAAATCACCAGGATATTTCTCTTTGAGTTGCTTATTTAAAAGCTGTATAGTACAAATGGAGATTGCAAAAATATAAAAGTAATATCTTAAGTTTCATGTAAAAGAAACTTTTTGTTGTCCCCACCCCCGCCCCCCCCTCACCTCCTTGCTGGAAATAGTCATAGAAATACCAATTTACTCTTCTGCTTGTATATTTAGTTGATAGTAGTTGCTATTTGATAATTCGCTGTTACTTTATGTATTCTGTGCACAAAAAGAAGCTGGAATTCTGGGGCAAGAGGTGGCTGGTGAGTGGCATAAGCTCTCTGAAGCAGGGACAGTGTGAAGGAAGGTCATCATCCACACCTTCGGACTGTAGCATAGCCTTGGCCCATGTGATATGTATCTCTTTTTTCCTAAACTTTTGATTTACTTCTGTGTTTTCAGGGAAATGGGAATGTCCGTGGCATCAGTGTGACATCTGCGGGAAGGAAGCAGCCTCCTTCTGTGAGATGTGCCCCAGCTCCTTTTGTAAGCAGCATCGAGAAGGGATGCTTTTCATTTCCAAACTGGATGGGCGTCTGTCTTGTACTGAGCATGACCCCTGTGGGCCCAATCCTCTGGAACCTGGGGAGATCCGTGAGTATGTGCCTCCCCCAGTACCGCTGCCTCCAGGGCCAAGCACTCACCTGGCAGAGCAATCAACAGGAATGGCTGCTCAGGCACCCAAAATGTCAGATAAACCTCCTGCTGACACCAACCAGATGCTGTCGCTCTCCAAAAAAGCTCTGGCAGGGACTTGTCAGAGGCCATTGCTACCTGAAAGACCTCTTGAGAGAACTGACTCCAGGCCCCAGCCTTTAGATAAGGTCAGAGACCTCGCTGGGTCAGGGACCAAATCCCAATCCTTGGTTTCCAGCCAGAGGCCACTGGACAGGCCACCAGCAGTGGCAGGACCAAGACCCCAGCTAAGCGACAAACCCTCTCCAGTGACCAGCCCAAGCTCCTCACCCTCAGTCAGGTCCCAACCACTGGAAAGACCTCTGGGGACGGCTGACCCAAGGCTGGATAAATCCATAGGTGCTGCCAGCCCAAGGCCCCAGTCACTGGAGAAAACCTCAGTTCCCACTGGCCTGAGACTTCCGCCGCCAGACAGACTGCTCATTACTAGCAGTCCCAAACCCCAGACTTCAGACAGGCCTACTGACAAACCCCATGCCTCTTTGTCCCAGAGACTCCCACCTCCTGAGAAAGTACTATCAGCTGTGGTCCAGACCCTTGTAGCTAAAGAAAAAGCACTGAGGCCTGTGGACCAGAATACTCAGTCAAAAAATAGAGCTGCTTTGGTGATGGATCTCATAGACCTAACTCCTCGCCAGAAGGAGCGGGCAGCTTCACCTCATCAGGTCACACCACAGGCTGATGAGAAGATGCCAGTGTTGGAGTCAAGTTCATGGCCTGCCAGCAAAGGTCTGGGGCATATGCCGAGAGCTGTTGAGAAAGGCTGTGTGTCAGATCCTCTTCAGACATCTGGGAAAGCAGCAGCCCCTTCAGAGGACCCCTGGCAAGCTGTTAAATCACTCACCCAGGCCAGACTTCTTTCTCAGCCTCCTGCCAAGGCCTTTTTATATGAGCCAACAACTCAGGCCTCAGGAAGAGCTTCTGCAGGGGCTGAGCAGACCCCAGGGCCTCTTAGCCAATCCCCGGGCCTGGTGAAGCAGGCGAAGCAGATGGTCGGAGGCCAGCAACTACCTGCACTTGCCGCCAAGAGTGGGCAATCTTTTAGGTCTCTCGGGAAGGCCCCAGCCTCCCTCCCCACTGAAGAAAAGAAGTTGGTAACCACAGAGCAAAGTCCCTGGGCCCTGGGAAAAGCCTCATCACGGGCAGGGCTCTGGCCCATAGTGGCTGGACAGACACTGGCACAGTCTTGCTGGTCTGCTGGGAGCACACAGACATTGGCACAGACTTGCTGGTCTCTTGGAAGAGGGCAAGACCCCAAACCAGAGCAAAATACACTTCCAGCTCTTAACCAGGCTCCTTCCAGTCACAAGTGTGCAGAATCAGAACAGAAGTAGTACCAATCAATGTCACATGAACAAACAAGCTGCCCCCAGGGTACCATTTGGGGAGGGGAAATCTTTTCTTTCTTTCCCCCTTAAAAAAAAACACATCTGCCCCGAACACTTTCCCACTGTTATTCTTTCCTCATATCCCAACACTCAGAACTCTTGTGACATTAGCCAGTGGGGGCTTATGGTTGTGTGAACCATGTATGAAAATCCAGTGGGCCCCAACCAAGGAGACAGACAGACTTGGGTCTCTTTCCCCCAACTTTTCCACATGGTCATCGTGAAATAAAAAGTCCACTCTGGAGTCAAGTATGGAATTCAATTCCGCTGGTCAGGTTGGAAGGTATAGGGGCTCTCAAAGCGATTTCCCCAACCAGACAGAGCCCCATTGAGGGCACCTAGGAACCCTTGGGAGGAAATGGTGTTCTTTCAAATCAGTGGCGATTTCCTGAGCATTCACGTGTTCTAGGCCGGGTGCTAGTCACTGATGAGAGATACAGGCCTCATCCCTGTGAGCCTGGATTCCAAGGCTTTCAGGAACCTTTGACCAGGAAGTAACAGGAAGTTCTGAGGGGCCCTGGGGCTTTAGACTCATTTTGAAATGTCCTTTGTGGCACCAGAAGTGGTTGTGTTGAGGAAGTGTCTCTTGGCTGCGGTGTGCATGGGTGCGTGTGCATGCGCGCACACTCACAGAGGTCTCCTCTATAGATGCAAGGGTGCTGCATTGAGGCCAGCAAGGCTGTTGGCTGTGGGGTCGCCGCTGCTGCTTTTGTCTGGGCTGTGCAGAGTCTCAAGATCAGTCCTTGGAGGAGCAGGTGGTCAGGGGCAGTCGGGCTCTGTGCGAATGTAGATTTCCAGCAGTGGAAGAAGGCATTTGGCAAGCTTCTCTTTCTTTGCTTTTGTTTCTACCTATTTTTCTCTTTGTACATGAATCCACCCCATCCCTATTTCCCTAAAACACTCAGGTGCTTTCAGATTTCAGAGCCTCGGGCAGTGGACATAGGGAATCTCTGGCAAGCTCTGAGCTAGACACACCAGCTTCAGGAAGAGTACCAGATCCTGATGGGAAATTTCTTTTCCCCATTCCTTTTCCCTCCTGAGTGGAGGGAGTCCTCTTCTTCGCCTCCCTGAGAATTGCTGTGCTCTGTATTGAGAGCACCTGCCTGCTGACTTAGCTCAAAGGCAAGCCAGAACCCTTCCCTGAAGACTGGCAAGAGGTGGTGTTTAGAGCAACGTCCAGGCTAAGAGATGACTCCTATTAACTGCTGATTATCTGTTACTGCTGCCCTGAGCTGGGGCCCAAGGGCTGGGAAATCTGTTGGTGCTACCCTGCCCTACCATTCACCCAGCTCACAGACTGCCAACAGGAAGTGCTGTTTGGCTAGTTTCCTCCCACTTGTCTACCCCTCCTTTGTCCTTAGACCAACATGTTTACCTCTCTGCTTTGCCAACTTAGCCAGCAGGCCATCCCCGGCCCTAACGTCTCCTGGCCATTATCTCTTAGTTATGGCTTTCACGCTCTCAATAGGATTCTGTATTTGGTCCCAATTTCCTCAAGTTCTTATTGAGGTTACTCCCATCAATTCCACGGAGGGAACAGTAGTTATTATAGAAGCATTTGCGCTTTATCTAAAGATTAAAAATAGAATCTGCTTTTATTTCCCAAAGTCTGTCTCTGAGGTTGAGACACTTGAACTCAGGCAGAGGGACGAGGCTGGGCAGGGCTGTCCTGAGTTTAGGGGCCTATCCCTGCATTTCACTGAGACCTCGGAATCTCCTCTGTGAATTCCACCTGCCTAGTTCTCCCCTTTCATCCTCTCTCTCTTCCCACATCATCAAAGAGGAAAAGCTCTTTGTTCAAAAGGAAGAGAAAACGTAAAGCATCTTATTTTCTTTTAAAAGAATTTTAAACCATGAAAAAGATATTTTTAAAGAAATTCACCGAGAACATTAAAGTTCATTATATTAAGTATTTATCATGTGTGAGAATAATAAATATATAACTGCAGCTAGTAGGTCCCTTTCCCTAATCTTTTAGGTCATATGAGTAGGGTTTGCTTGGTGCCAGTCCTGTGCCCTTTTCTCTCCAGTCATCTGTAGTTGTGATCAGAAAAAGGTATCTGCACTGCACTGTCAGAGTCTCCTTTCACTATGTTGTGTGTTAAATTACCGTAGCTCTTTGTTTCATGAAATAAACTGTGAATTTGGGGGGGGCGGGGGGAGGGCGTGCAGGCCATGTAAAAATTTTCCGTGGAGAAGTTTGATTCTAAAGTAGCTTCTCTAAAGTAGGCTTTGGTAGGTAATCAACTTGACAGCAGTCTAGATGTCTCACAGGACAGGAGGGAGTGAGGGAAAGGGGCCATGATTGGCTGCTTTGTGGTTTTATTTTGGTTCTTTCCATTCTCCGCCATTCATTGGAGGCTTCGTTCCAGACCTGCCTGGGAAAACAGCTTCTGAGCCATTTTGGGGAGCAGTTCTTCATCTGAATGGATGGACATCTGGGCTTCCTTCAAGGGCCATTGAATGGGAACTAGAAAACCACTGGAAACTAGAAATTTGAGCTATTGGGCCCACCAGTAGCAGCATGTGATACTAGATGGTTAAAATCATGAAAGCAGTCACTATCCAATTAGAAGCAGAGTCACAACAACTGTTGGGAAATGTGACTCTTGGAGGAAGGTGGGGAGGGAGTGGCCTTGCCAGCCCTGTGGGACGTCCCCTGAAGTTTGTAATAAGACCCCTTTTCCAAAGGGATGTGAATTGGAGTGAAAAGGAAATCTTTCATCTTAGAAAACTTCTGGTCCTTAACGCAGGGTGGTATTTGGGTATGTGCTTGGAAATTGAGATCTCAAGAGTGTTTGCCTTGGAGCCAGCTCCCCAGGAGGCCTTTTCCAGGGACAAGGCAAAAGTTGAAATTCTCCATGGGTAGCTAGAAAGCCAATACATCTAGCCCTGCTAAGTCAGAAAAAGATTATGAAAAATGTTGAAATTTACATTCAAAGCCTCATTTGCTTATCTTGCTGGAGCCAACCCAGTCTAATAGCAAAATAGCTGTCATTGATACAGAAACATCCTCATTTTTAAATGTCTGCTTTACCCTGTTACTGAGTTTGAGATGACTTAAATCACTGTGTTGACCCTCTTCTGAACCAAATCTTTAGCATTGATGAAAATAGTTATTTTATTCTTTACATCCTTCACCCCACACTATGGTCAGGGCATGAAACACCCTGTTGATCCCTTCCCAGGCTCGGCACTGTCTGCTCACTGGAGCCGGACTCCCAGGTTGTAATTCTAATGTTGCCTCATGAGAACAGAATGGCAGAAAGTTTAGTCCTGACAGATTCCCCCATAGGGAGTAATGAGGACAGCATGAAACTTGGATAGGTTTTACCCTTAGTCCCTATAAGGTGGATTTTACTAAGGTTTTTTAAATGATACTGTCATCCTCTTGGGGTTTATCAGCCAGGTTAGAGGAGCCCAGTGTCCTAACCTCTCTCAGATCATGGCAGAGAAGGAGCTGCCTCCAGCCCCTTTCTTGCTGAGTTTCATTTGAGCAGTTCCATGTGTAGACATTCCAAGTCACTGCTTGGTAGTTGCTGTGGGAGCCTGTCATTGGCTATGGCCAGTTAGTTCTCAGCTGAGCTTCCTAGGGCCAGTGCAACAGGGCCAGAGGCTGCTATAGTGTAAATTGAAATAAGAATAGATCATTGTTTTGTACACACACACAATAAAATGTAATGATGGTGCTAATTTCACGGTATAAATAAGCACTGCCAAGGGTTGAGGGACTGGCAGCTCAAGAAACCCGGGTTCCTGTTTGGGAGGAGATTTTATGTAGAAAAGTTTGAGGCTTTGTTAAAAGTGGGGAGAAGGAAGATCCTCAGTGAAGCCTGCACCCAACCCTGGAGTGGCCCAGTGCAATCCAGAGGTGGAAGAGATCCTATATCCAGGTGAAGGTGGCCATTGAGTTTCTCAGGGCTGGGGCCACCTTGTCCATAGCCTCCGTCCACGCTGCCTGGAGCAGGTTGTTAGAGAGCTCTGGTTGTTGGGTCTTCCTCAGCTCCCTTCTGCCCCTCTCTACCTCTTCCACTCATGGAAGCCCCTCTACTGCTTATGAAGATTAAGGGTAGTATTTTCTAAGGAAGTGGAAAGAATTAAACTAGAAATCCACAACCTCGGAAGAAGTGTTTCGAGTTTAACATGCGCTGTTTCTGCTTATGTGGTTCCTTCTCTAGAGCTGCTTTCCCATGGCTTTCAAAACATCAGGTTATTGTGGGGCTTCAGGTGTAAGGTCCTGGAAGTTCAGCAAAGTTTCGTGGACAAGACATGGGCACAGAGAGTAGAAGCAGAAATAAATGGTTCTATGTTTTCAACTTCCAGGGTTGGGGCAGGCCAGAGCAAGGCGGTCTCATCGAGGTGGGTGCTACCTGTGTGTGTGTAGATGAGTGTGCTGAAGGTGGGGAGGGCAGCACACAGCAGCTCATGGCAGAGCCGCCTCCTAGGTCTTGGCAAAGAGGCAAGCTGACGATAGACATCTACCTATATTGTTAAGAAAGGGGTCGGGGGGATCAGCCAAGGTCCATCATTGCTTTTTTGCCGCGCCCCCCCCCCCCCGCCCCCATAGATTGTCAGCTGTAAGTGAAACTCCTAGTGAAAAAGAGGGGAGCCCTGTGTTAGGAGTCCCCATAAACATGTACTGTAATTCTTTGTATATAGAAAAAAAATTTACTGTAAAGTAAAGTTTAACTTTACTCATATATGGCCCTTGCCCTGTGTTTTGTTTTATTGGCTGTGGGGAGTTGTAGTCTAACAGGAGGGAGGATTGTTTGGGGTGAGAGCAGAAGCCAGCCCCAGAGATAGTACGAGGTGGGGGGCGGGGGGCGCAGGGATACTGTGAAGCTAAGCCCTTCCTCCAAGCACGTCATGGGAATAGTGTGTTTCCTCTCAGCAGCCACAGGGCTGCCCAAGCCTCTTTCTCCCTCTGTTGGGAGTGGCTGGTTTCAGTTTCAGTCTCCCTCCACAGGAAGCCCCCATCACTCATGAAGGAAGGGCAGTTTGAGGAATTGGTTTTTAAAAAGGAAGTGGAACCAAAGCACTCTCTGAGTGTGAGTCTGACCATGTTGGCTAAGTTGTACATTTTTCCAAGGCAGGTGTTGGCCACTGCAGAGGACTCAGCCCAGGCCTAAATAAAGGCAGGAAAGCAGAGGCAAAGGATAAAACTAAGGGAAAGCCCCTGGCCTGGGGCCACACCCTCCATACCAGAAAGGGCTGCAATAAATTTCCTTCTGGTTGAGCAGCAAGTGTCAGCCCTGTTTACAGTTAACACCTGATTCCTCAGAAATATCTGGATCTTCTTTGGGGAAAACTTGGGAGTTTGCTTCCCTTTGTGACCTAGTCCTGAACTTCCTGCCCTTTCAGCAAAAAGTGCTTGGGAAGATTGGGAAAAACATTTAGTACTAGAGTTACTCTTCACTTTCTTCACAATCCTTGGGCTGCATAGTAGTCACCTTATTTTACAGATGAGAAACTCAAGATGAGGATTTAAGTCCCTTTTCTAAATTAGCAGCTGAATTGGAACCAAATCTGGATCCATTAGACCTTTCTGGCTTACAGAACTTAGGACTTTCCTACCATTAAACCACATTGTAGGATGTCACTGGGAAGCTCAGGACCTGAGTCACAGGTCTGACATAGGGGCCCAAACATGACAGATGCAGTAGAGCTAGTCAGACCAACCTGTCTCAGGTAGGAATGCTTGACCCTTTTATTTCGAAGCAACTCATGCACTCTTTTCAGCACTCAGAAGGAACTGTGAGCTTTTATACTACTACAGCCCCAGTATCTCAGCGGTAACCATGGGGAAAAAAGTCTTGTTTTCCAAAGGAAAATGAGAGTTGGGAGGAGCCTTAATATAAGCAGTGAGGCCAGCCGGGTGGCCCCAGGAAGAACTAGGTGTCTTGACACCTAATCCACACAGCAGGGAAAGGGGCTGGGTGTGATGCACAGTGCACTGATTTTATTTACAGATCAAAAGCCACTTAAATAATCTGCAGACACAAGTGCTGTCCAGGGCAGAAGCCTGGGGTCCAAATCAGCCTTATCCCTCCTCATGCCCACAGTCAGCCCAATGCTGTCTCCGTTCCATGGGCCAGCACAGGCAGGCGCCACTCTGCTGACATGAGGACCTGGGGTAGCTCAGACATTTGACTACCCAAGCCCAGAAAGGAGCTGGGTCCAGCCCTTACGGGGAATTCCTTTAATTCCCCCAGGCCAGGTGAGTGCTGACTCAGTGATGACAACAGCTGTAGAAGTAGGGGTTTGGCTTCTGGCCCAGAT
Source organism: Homo sapiens (assembly GCF_000001405.40). Classification (NCBI taxonomy): domain Eukaryota; kingdom Metazoa; phylum Chordata; class Mammalia; order Primates; family Hominidae; genus Homo; species Homo sapiens. The sequence continues at coordinate 177,301,793 of NC_000005.10, forward strand.
CCACGCCCTTGTCCTCTGTCAAAAAGAGAGGTGGCAGCTCAGCACCATTCTGTTGGGATCAGGTAACTCAGGAAAGGGGCTAGATGCTGTGGGCCTAGAGTAAGTCTCCATAAAGGCTGGGGAAGCACACACCTGTCATCACCTGGAAGGCAGCCACACTGACGTAATCCTCTGCCACTTTCTGGAAGAGCTCGTCTGGCAGGAAAAATGATGATCAGCGAGGGCCCAATGCCAGTAGCCCTGGGATCTCCCAGTGACCCAGCCCTCTGTGCCCTATTCAGCTTCCTCTGGTGCCCCTGCATGTTCCTGCTGTGAGGCTCCAGCACAGCACTCACCCACACTCTGGCCTGTCTTGCTGGATGTTTCAAAGAGCTGAGCTTTGATATCTGTAAAGAGAAGTGACTAAAGCCTCATACCTGAGAATTAGATAAACAGACAAAAGGGAGGGCTAGCAGTTCAGGGAGTCTCCTGGACCCCACAGTTCAAGGAGGCCAGGAAGACCTCCTAGAGCACCTTGCCCTGGCAGCCAAGGCAGTCCCTATTTTCTTTGATCCACCCAGACAGCCACACACCCCCACCCCCCAAAGGGCTGAGGAGCAGCTACTGTCTGCATAGTCCTGGACGTCGTGGAAGTCCACACGTCGACGCCTCCGGTCTTCTTCCAGCAGGTCACTCTTGGTGCCACATAAGTAGATTTGGCAGCCCTGAGGCAGAAGACAAGGGTCACCTCCACAGGCCAACAAAACCCCAGCCCCTAGTGTTCTAGTGAGGTCTGTTCACCTACCTCCTCTAGGCTGCGCAGTTCCTTCACCCAGAACTTTGCTCGCTCAAAGCTGCTGCTGTCTGTGAGGTCTTGGTGTGCGGCATGCAGGAGACAACCAAGTGGTCAAGGGCTGTTCTCTGGCTAGCCTGGCACCCATCTTTTCTTGTGAGACAGCCCAAACCCCCCCCCCCCTTACCATAGCAGACGATGGCAGCCTTGGCACCCCGATAGTAGATTCTACTCATGGCCTCATAGCGCTCAGAGCCTGCTGTGTCCTAAAGAGTAAGGCCTGAGTCAAACTTAAGGCCACGTTCTCCAGACCCCGCTATTTTCCAGATAAGGAAACGGGTCTATGAGAAATGGGTCTGTGAGGCCACAAATCAACCAGTAATAGGCAGGACCTACACCTCCTCAGGAATGAGTCTCCCAAGAATAGATGGCCGGGGGACTTACCCAAATACCTAATGTCACAGTCCGGTCTCCGACCGACATCACCTTGGCCACGAAGGCGGCCCCGATGGTCTGCAACGAGAGGGAAGAGATCGGGGCCATAGGTGCAGATTACCGGCCCCCCACTCCCCCGCCCACCGTGCCTGGCCCCTCCGGATGCACTCACGTTCTGATAAGGCCCCACCAGAAAGCGGTCGTGCACGTAGCGCTCCACCAGGCTAGTCTTGCCCACGTACTCCTTGCCCAGCATCACCACCTTGACGTCCACGCGCTGCCCGCTCATGCTCCCGGGGCCGCTTCAGCCACGTCAGGGTCCTGAGCGGGGACGGGAGGCAAACCCCGATCTCCGCTCGGCCCAGGCAGCGCCCAAGCCTCAGACCCCGACCCCAAACGGCGCCAACCTACGACTCCAGACAGCGCGTCGGGCTCGAGCTCTGGCCGTGGCCTTGCACTTCGGCAGCGCCCCGTGTGCCCCCGCTGTTCGGCCCCGGGCGCCGATTATCCTTCGAAGACCCCAAGCCTCGGGGCGGCCTGGGAGCGCGCGGGACAGCGTCCTCAACAGCGCAGCACGCCGCCGTGCAGCTCGCTACTCCGTCATTCGCTCGCCTGCCCGGCTTAAGCTCCGTTCTGGCTGGGAATCCCAACCGAACCTGGGGTCTCCCGCAACCCGGCTCCTACCCGCAGCGCCGCGACTCCCGCGGGAGGGGGCTAGAGGGCGAGGGGGCGGGGCCGCAAGGTCACGTGGCGCGGGCGCCGGAAGCGGTGGCTACTGTGTGGCTGCGCCGGAAGTGGCGCGCGGCCGGACAACTCATGGCGGCGGCGGCGGCGGCGGCAGCTGCTTGGGCGCGGTGCGGTGGTGACTGAGCTACGAGCCTGGCGGCGGGTGTGCGCCGAGCCCCGGCCCGGCCCGGCCCTCGCGTGCCTCCCAGGCTCCGCACCCCTGATGCTGCGCGGGTGCTGAGCCCGCTTCGGCCGGGACGATGGTGAAGTATTTCCTGGGCCAGAGCGTGCTCCGGAGTTCCTGGGACCAAGTGTTCGCCGCCTTCTGGCAGCGGTACCCGAATCCCTATAGGTACGTGGTATTTGGAAGAGCAAAACCGCGCCATCTCGCTATCTGGAGATCGAATTATGGGTAACCCCCAAGTACTGGGACCAGGAAGGACTCGATATCGAATCCTAGGTAGACCTTATCGGGGAAGCGGCCAGGCCAGGCCTGCAAGGTCCTGAAGGGAGGTTGGGCCTGGGTGGTGGTTTACTTGAGACCTTAGTGTAAGATTCTTTTCTCAGTGTGGTGAGACAAGAAGAGGCGGCAGTATGGGAGTTGGGAGGGATCTTGGAGTTGGAAATCCTATTTCTCTGCCCGTGGCGCTTTCCTGGGGTGCAATAAATCATGAGGTCCATTCCTGCTAGAAGGCAGGAATCCAGGTCAGTCAGATGGCGGGAGTGGGAATTTGCCCTGGGATGGGCCCTTAACTCTGGTTTGAACCATAGCACATACCACCCTGCAAGGTTACGGGAAGGCGTGGCCTCTCTAGGCCCGGAGCCTCCAAATGGGAATCCCCTCGGGCAGTCTCTTAGGGGCAAGCTTCTGAGGGTCACCTTCACCCTGACACCTGCAGCAAACATGTCTTGACGGAAGACATAGTACACCGGGAGGTGACCCCTGACCAGAAACTGCTGTCCCGGCGACTCCTGACCAAGACCAACAGGATGCCACGCTGGGCCGAGCGACTATTTCCTGCCAATGTTGCTCACTCGGTGTACGTCCTGGAGGACTCTATTGTGGACCCACAGAATCAGACCATGACTACCTTCACCTGGAACATCAACCACGCCCGGCTGATGGTGAGACACCTCCTGTTGTGATTCTGCACCTCCCCCTCTCCCCTCCCCCCGAGATAGAGAGCTCCTCAGATACATGTGGCTAGAGAGCCATAAGGCAGCTTTTGTGGCCGGAGGCAGGTCTGGGTTACTGAGGGTTGACAGCTGTAGAGTATGACCTCAGGTTTTCTTCTTTTCAGCTGGCCATCCTCTCTGGACCTGTCCTTTGACTCATTCATACAGTGGGGGAGGGGTACCTATCTTACGGAGTTGTCCTAAGTTCTAAATGCAAAGCGCTCCCATCTGGCATCTATGGCACAGATATATGTTGGACTCACAGGAGTGATGCTGAGTGGCGGAGGCAGTGCTTTTCTTTTTTTTTTTTCTGTTTTTTGTTTTTTTCTGGTGACAAGAGTCTCACCCAGGTTGGAGTGTAGTGACATGATCTCACCTCACTGCCACTGCCACCTCCTGGGTTTAAGCAATTCTCGTGCCTCAGCCTTCTGAAGAGGTGGATTTCTAAGCACACACCACCACGCCTGGCTAATTTTTGTATTTTTAGTACAGACAAGGTTTTACCATGTTGGCCAGGCTGGTCTCGAACTCCTAACCTCAAGTGATCCGCCCGCCTCGGCCTCCCAAAGTGCTAAGATTACAGGCGTGAGCCACCGCGCCGGGCAAATGTTTTTATTTGGACTGTCAGGAAGCTCCAGAGCTGCAGCTGGTGGAAGGCGGCTAAAACACTGCATGCGTCTAGATGCACAAAACAAAATCCAGGAGCAGGATGGGCTGGAAGGCCCTTTGTTGATCTCAAGAGAGAGACCTTTTGCCTTCTAGTTTAAGAGTCAGAAGAGAGGTTTTCGAGAGCAAAACGACCTTATTTATGGCTTCTTGTTCTGTCAGTGCCACTTGGAGGTGCAGTCAGGGGAAGGAATGGATTTTCATTGTATTGCTTCGCCTCATGAAAAGTGACAGGGAGTCAGATTTATGTGCAAGTTGGCAAAATGAAAGACTGTTCCACGATTGTGGTTGGCCTCTGCATAGGTGGTGGAGGAACGATGTGTTTACTGTGTGAACTCTGACAACAGTGGCTGGACTGAAATCCGCCGGGAAGCCTGGGTCTCCTCTAGCTTATTTGGTGTCTCCAGAGCTGTCCAGGTGAGCAGTGTTGTTGGGGCTGCTGGGGCTCTGGGACCCAGTGCTTTCGGTGTTGGGGCTGGGCTGGGGTCAGTGGGCAACTCAGTATCCTTCCCATTCTCATCTCATGCCAGGAATTTGGTCTTGCCCGATTCAAAAGCAACGTGACCAAGACTATGAAGGGTTTTGAATATATCTTGGCTAAGCTGCAAGGTGAGTTTCTGGGTATGTGGATATTCCTCATAGGGAGAGGCTCATTCAGCCTAGCGGGCGTGGAGTCTGGGTTAGTCATTGCCCTGCTCTGAGCTGGGACTCCTTGTCTGTACTGGGGGTGGGAGGAGGGTGAATACCACCTTTTTAGTGGAGCCTGGCCCAGAGGAGATTGGTGTCATGGGGGAGGGAAATTAGGTTGGTCTTTCAGGCATCTTCTAAAGGCAGCCACCTGCCGTTCGCGACAGGCGAGGCCCCTTCCAAAACACTTGTTGAGACAGCCAAGGAAGCCAAGGAGAAGGCAAAGGAGACGGCACTGGCAGCTACAGAGAAGGCCAAGGACCTCGCCAGCAAGGCGGCCACCAAGAAGCAGCAGCAGCAGCAACAGTTTGTGTAGCCAGTCTACCACCACCACAGCACCCCAGACAGCTAGGCTTAGCCTCTCTGCCCTCCCTTCATTGTACTTTATCATTAAAAATCAACTTCCAGCCCTGTCTGCTGTCTACGTGGTGGGTTGTGGGGATGCAGTTTGGCATCTGCAGTACACCAAGCACATGATTCATGTCTGAGCCAGGTCTGCTTATTCTCCCATTGGGCAGCTGAGGACCGAGGCACAGAGGTGCGGTGACTTGCCCGGGGCTCCAGGTAGCCTGCAGGTTAACTGGCGGTAAGTGCTAGACTGTAAGCCCGACAAGGGCAGGGCTTTTGGTTTTGTTCTCTGATGTGTCTCAGTATCTAGCACATAATAGACACTCAATAAATACTTGTTGAATTCAGTTGGCCCCAGCTCTGGAGTCGGAAGGCTCTGGTTTGAATCTTGGCTTCACTGTTTTTGGACCTCAGGCGAGTCACGTCACTCAGCCTCATTTCTACCATCCGTGAAGTGGAGACAGAACAGCCTCAAGTTGTGAGAATTAAGTGCACTGCCTGGCACGGCCAACAGTGTCAGTGATGGGAACTGATATTATTTCCTCTTCCAGTGGGTCTGTGGTTGGGAGTTCCCCCGTTTTCATTAGGCAAGACTATGGACGGGAAGTTATGAAAGAGGCTTTTAATGAAAATACTGTACAGTTTATGTGAGGCAAAGGCAGGGGGCCTTGTCCAGGAAGGGAAGAGGCCCAAGAGGCTTCCTGTCCCCTTGGGGGCAGCAGAGCCAAATGCTTGGGCTCGGGCCCAAGCTGCCTGCCCTGCAGGGGTCCAGGGAGGTCCTGATGAGTCCTGCCCCTTCCCTTCCAGAGGGCCTGCCTGGCAGCCAGCAGCAGGGTGTTTGGGGAGCACCTGTTCCCACACAAGGGTCCTTTTAGTCCATTCCAACAGGTGACTCCGAGCAGCCCTGAAGGCTTGGGGAGGGCTCCTGCCTGGCAAGTGGGCCTGGCACGAGTAGAGGGCAGAGGCCCGCCCTGGGTGAGGAACATCATAGCCAGGCGCCGCCGCCGTGCGAGTAGCTGTGCTCCTGGCCGGCGACGAAGCCCCGCAGCAGCTCGGCCTCACCCCCAAACACCAGGCTCTCCACATCCACCTCCAGCTCCTCTGCGCGGGGAGGGGTCCGGTCAGAAGACCTGGCTCGCCCCGAGGGCCACACAACCCCTCAGCCTCGGGGCACTCACCTTGGTCTGAGTCTGAGCGCTCAGAGGAGAGGCCTGAGGAGTCCAGACTGTCCGCCCGCAGCCGCTCCCGCTCGGCCGCCCCTGCCAGCCCCCGGAGCTGCTCCAGCTGCCGCTGCAGGCTCTGCTGCTTGCTGCGCAGCCTCTCCTTGAGCTGTCGGGCCCGCTGCTCCTGATCCTCCAGCTTCTGCGGATCCCAAAGGAGCAAGGGGCTGGGGTCAGCGGCGTGGGGGCTTGGGCTGCACCCCAGCACCACTCAGTACCGGGCCACGGCCACAGGGCCAATGCCCACTCCGGGCAGGTGGCGACTAAATCCAGGCCCCAGAGGGTTGCACCCACATCCTCCAGAAAGCCAGCCCCTTTCCGGCCATGCACACGTCCTGTCAGGGTGCTGCCTAGATTGGGGGTGGGGGGGCACCACAATCTCAAAGGCATTTGGGGCCTAGTCAAGGATAAAGGACTGGAGTGCTGTGGCGTCCAGGGGTGGGAACTGGGAGCAGGGTGCACTGCTGCGTGTACACTCTGGCTCAGGAGCCAGGCATGTGCTGTCATGGGAAACAGGCCCGGTGTTACCAGGTCTCCCCGTTTCTTTTGTTTTTTGTTTTTTTTTTTTGAAACAGAGTCTCGCTCTGTCGCCCAGGCTGGAGTGCAGTGGCACAATCTCGGCTCACCACAACCTCCACCTCTTAAGTTCAAGCAATTCCCTAGTCTCGGCCTCACAAGTAGCTGGGACTACAGGGGCCCGCCACCATGCCCAGCTAATTTTTGTATTTTTAGTGGAGACGGGGTTTCACCATATTGGTCAGGCTGGTCTCAAACTCCTGACCTCAGGTAATCCGCCTGCCTCAGCCTCCTAAAGTGCTGAGATTATAGGTGTGAGCCACCGCGCCCGGCCCCCCATTTCTTTACGAGAAGCTAGCTGGAAAGTCAGATTTTTCATGTCAAATGTCTTTTGAGGGATTGACAGCTAATTTAAATTTTTAGAAAACTAGAGAACAAACAAAGGCTACCAGTCTGTAGCTCCTGGTCACGATCCCTACAAGAGCGAGAGCGTGAAGGCGTTAGCACCCTCCCTCCCATACCCCTACCTCCCGCCAAGCTCTGCCAGCCCTGAAGTTCCAAGGACTGGAAGGCCAAGGGCTCTCCCAGGCGGAGCCCTCAGTGGGCAGAAGCTTACATTCGGTCATTCAACAAGAAGGGGAGAACTGGGCCATGGAGGCGTTTGGACTGGGCGTAGAAAGATAAGAGCTGCCGAGGCAAACACAGGGAGGAAGAAACGTCAAGACACAGCAGAGGGAGCCTGGGAAGAGCACAGAGCATTCAGCTTCTGTGGGGCACAGGGAGAGATGAGGCCAAAAGAGCAGCCTACTGGCAAGTCCTGGGTTATGAAGGGCCTTGAGTTTCACAGGAAGGAAGGGGAGCAGAGGCTTTGTCCTGTCAGGGGCCACTGGTGGGTTTTCAGCAGGAGATGGGCCTGGGTAGATAGGTGTGCTGCAGAGATCATTCTAGAGCAAAGTAGAAGACAGCCTGGTGGAGGCAAAACAGGTAACAGGAAGGCTGGGAGGAGGCCGGTGAATTAATCCAGGAGAGGGGTGATGGAGCCCCAGAGAAGGAGCACTGCCCAGGTCCTGCCCACAGGCCAGCCAGCCCCTGAGGGGCACACATCATCCATCCGAGAACCAGGCCAGGCAAGCTCCGTGTGAGAAACTGGGCCACTACCCAACCAGAGTGTTACTCAGCCACAATGATGGTAATAACAGACGCCGGGCGGCAGTGCAGCTGTTCCCGCAGCTGTGGTTTATTTACTAACAGCGCATAGGTCTTTGTGTGCCACAGCCCCCAGTGCCTAGAATAGGGCCTAGCAGAACCAGTGCTCAGTAAACACTTGTCAGAGGAGATAACGCAAGCCAGGGAACTGGGCATGGGTCCTGAATCTGCCGCCCATCAGCTGTGCAACTTGTTGGCCCTCAGCCTAGCTGTGCCTTCATGTATTCCTCTAGAGGGCAGGAAAAGTCCTGTGGTTTCCAAGGCCACTTCTGACATGGCCAGGGCCACCTGGGCCTTTATTCAGCACATCCACTCCTGTCCACCAGGGGGCACTGAGCTCAGCCCCAGCAGCAGCAGGAGCCCTGGGAGGACCAGTGACTGGCGTCTTCTCAGTCCTTTCCCCTCCTGTCCCTGGAGCTGCCTCCCAGGTGGCACCAGGATAGACTGCCCATAACAGGAGGCCTTGAAGGTGAGAGGGGGAGAGCAAGGACCAACCCTCTACAGTCCCAAGGACCCCCACATACATCCCATCACAGAATTCAACAGCCATCCCCTCCCCTCAAACAGGAGGGAAGGTTAGTCCAGACAGGCTAAGTAACCTGCCCAAGGTCTCACAGCTGTGATCTAAGTGATAACAGCTGTAACAGCAACAGTGAACATTTATAGAGTGAACTCATTTAAGCCTCAACAACCCTCTGAGTTATTGTCTGCTTTTCTTCCCATTTAATGGATCTGGAAAGTAAAAGCTCAGAGAGCTGTCCTAAGTCACACAGTTCTTGAGCTCTGACCTCAGGTCTCGTTCCCCAGTCCCACCAGCCCCTCCATAGCACAGCCCTCCATACACCAGGGCAAGCCAGTCCGGGCGCAGTGGGGGGCCTCACCTGGATGTGCATCCTGGCACGGCGCAGCAGGCTCAGCGTGGTGTACCGGGCACAGTCGGCCCCCAGGGGCATCTGCTGCTTCAGCCGCTCCAGGCACCGCTTCAACTGGGCCCTCCTGTGGGGAAGAGGTCTGGAGGGCAGTGCCAGCCCCACCTTGCCGGCCACAGGAATGGCAGGGGAGGGAAGGCCAGAGGGCAGTGGCCCCTGGGGGCTGGCGCTGTCAGGGCAGGACTGGGACTCACCTGCGCTTCTCCAGTTCATTGTGCACTGACCTGCCAATGCCAGAGAGGATGAGGTGAAGGGGAATCAGCTACTGCCCATGCCCCAATCCCAGGGCCCCCAGTGGCTCAAGAGCCACTACAGATGTCTGCCCCAAACAAGTCCCCTGTGGAGAGCTCATGCTGGCCTCAGACACCAGAGTCCCCTGGCAGGGCGAGGGGAGTCAAAGACACACGGAGCCAAATGCTTAACAGAAGCCTGCCCAGGTGGGTATGAGGGCCCTAACAAGGGCGCCTGCCAGCTGGCCAGAAAGGACCTCCCAGAGGTGACAGCTAACTGCGGAAACAGATGTTTCCCAAGCCGGTACTGGAGGGAGGGGCATTCAAATAGGAGGGAACAGCATATGCAAAGGGCTGGGGAGAGGAGAGAAGAGGAGGAAGCCAGCGGGGGAGGTGAGTGGCCTGATGTGTGGGGTGCGGGAGTGCGAGTGGAAGCGGGACCCCAACTGCTGTTGGCAGTTCCCGGCACATCTAGAGGTGCTCAAGAAATAGTCCTTGAATGAATAGAAAGGTGTGAGTGTGTTTGGAGAGTGGGGAGATGGCAGGAGGGGTCTGAACGCTTCCTGGAGCGGGACACCTGGCCCAAAAGATGCAAGCAACAAGTGGGCAGAGGAGGGCCCGACCAGGGGCGGCGCCCACCCCCACCCCCACTCCCGCCGCCCCCGGCCTCCTCACCGCCCGCTGTCCTGCGCGCCAGGAGCCTGGGGGGGTCGCTTCTTCCTCCTGTGGATGGGGCCTGGACTGCGATGCGGGCACAGGGACGCATAACCATGCTCGGCCTCTGCCAGAGAGAGTCCCCGCCCGCGTCAGGCTGGGGCTGGACCTGGTCCCAGCGGCAGCCCCAGGCACAGCACGGTCAAGGAAAGGCTTTTGGCGCCAGGACCATTTCCCCCACCCGTCCCTGCTCTACCGCCCCGGGACTCCTCTCGAGTTGAGGGCGAGGCGCCCCGGGATTACTGTCCTAGGGCGGTGCATCCTTCAAGCTGGGAGCCAGGTCCAGTCCAGGCCCGTGTCAGCGAGGTCGCCGCCCGGAATTCAGCCAAGGGTCCTTCCTCACCTCTCTCACGGCGCTCCAGGAACTCGGCCGCCTGCAGCAGGACCTGGATGTTGCTGGCCAAGGGTTCCATGTCGGCGACAGCTGGCGGCGGGCCGGCCTAGGGTGCCGGCCGGAGCAAGCGGCTGCAGCACTTTTGTTACAAAGTAACTGACACGGTGCAACAAACACAGGGGCCCGCCCCGCCCCCGGGACGCCCCGCCCGCGGGAACGCCCAGCCCTTGGCTCCGCCCCTCTGGAACCCGCCACGGAGCCGCAGCCCACCCTCCGGCAGCCGCCCCGCCCCGAGTGGTCTCAGACTTTCCAGGGGCAGGTAAGGGCGCTGGCTCCAGGCCTGGCCCTGGAGCGAACCCTCAGGCTAACCGGTGCTGCTTCTTGCCCGCCTCACTCATCCACCCACGCCGGCTCATTGGCGTCTTTGATCTCAGCTTCCAGCCCCGTGCTAGTGACTAGCCCCCAACATAGCACGGCGCTCTGGGGGCCTGGTGGTCCCCTGAAAGCGCCGGGCCCAGCCGCTGCACGTGGGTGCCGCGGGGGCGGGGCCTCCGGCCGCCGCTCGCCCATTCGCACATGGCTTCTCAAGGATCGCTGTTGTCATCCTCGGGGCGGGGTCGGGGAGCCTCTGATGCCCTATTGGCTGGCGCTCTGCCCCGCCCTCTCCCGCCGCTGATCCACACGTTCGGGCGGGAAAAGAAGCAGGTTTCAAATTTGAAAACCCAAGCGATGGGGCGGGGTTGAGAGGGGAGCTGGGCCTCAATGCGCAGGCGCCGGCGGAGGGGCGGCGGACCCGGCTCCTGCCCTCCGGGGTCTGTCCCCAAGCCTGCCTGCCATCTGCCCCCGAAGGCCCCCGTGGGCCCCAGCTTCCTACTGTGTCGAATGGGAATAATATCTCGGCCCCCCTCCTCTTCTGTGAGGAAGCTGTTGTTGCTACGAAAACGTCAGTGGGGTAACAGCTTCCTCAGGCAGGCCATACCCTGGAGGCACGCGAAATGGCCTTTTCCGGGGCCTTGGGCTCTGGTATCCACGCAGTTGGGGTCCTCTCCTGTCACTGATGTCTCAGCTGTGTATGACTCAGGAGGTGACCTCCGTCTCTAAGCCTCAGGAGCCCTGCGACAGCGTTGAAGGATCAGAGCCAATGCCTCTGCGGTGCCCATGGCATGAAGGAGCCGCCCATCTCAAAGGCCAGTGCAACCAGACCGCGGCGTTTGCCTCCCAGGCAGCCCCTGCTTGCCTTACTCAGAGTCCATAAACCCTTCTTGCACCTGACTCTCCTAGCCGGCCGAAGGAGTGGCTGTGATGACTTCTAGCCTCAGCACCAGCAGGTGGGGCCACATCTGGGGACAGGAAGATGAACGCAGCTGTAGCAGGGTGGAGCATTGCTGCCAGCCACGGGCTGAGTCTGTGACTCCAGTAATCCCAAAATAGAGAGGGGAGGGAAGGTGGGAGGGATAGATGCTCTGTAAAGAGACAGTCCTGGTAAACACAAGCACATGTCAGTCAGGCCTCAGTTCCTTGGGAAAAATCTTTTTTTTTTTTTTGAGTCTTGCTCTGTTGCCCAGGCTGAAGCGCAATGGCTCAGTCTCGACTCACTGCAACCTCCGCCTCCCGGGTTCAAGCAATTCTCCTGCCTCAGCCTCCCAAGTAGCTGAGACTACAAGCGCCCACCACCACACCCAGCTAATTTTTGTATTTTTAGTAGAGACGGGGTTTCACCGTGTTGGCCAGGCTGGTCTCGAACTCCTGACCTCAGGTGATCCACCCACCTCAGCCTCCCAAAGTGCTGGGATTACAGGTGTGAGCCACCGTTCCTGGCCGGGAAACATCTTGAAGTTTCGGCCAGGCGCCGAAAAAAAATGAAGTTTCTCTAAGAGTTGCTCACAGCGGAATAACTGCCCTGTCTAGGCAGACGATCCATCTACCCAGCCGCCTGTCCTTAACTCACAAAGTATTTGCTGAGCTCTCACTGGACACCAGGCGCTGTGCTGGGGGCTGGAGGACATACGATAGGCAAAATCATACAGGGTCCCTGCCCTTGCAGAGCTCATAGGCTTGAGAGGGAAAGACACCAATACAGTCGCAGGAAGGCGGAGGTCCAGCTGGACAGGTCCTCACAGGGAGAGACCATGCCCCACAACACATTCTAAGGAACATTTGACCTAATTGGTGAGGCCAGAGAAGGCTTTACTGGGGAAATGGATGAAGAGGTGTTATCTAAGTATAGGAGAGATGAAAGAATTCTAGACAAAGGAACAGCACATGCAAAGGCCCTGGGGCTGAAAGGAGCATGGCAGGGGCGGTGTGGCTTACAGAGAGCAAATAGCCTGGTGCAGGCTGACACTGGAGAGGCTGCAGGGCCCAGAACATGCTGATGGGTTCCCCCAAACTCCCCCCTGCAATCAGCCATCTCTGAAGGAAGGAGCCGCAAGGGTTGTGAATGAATTTCCAATTTTATTTCACTAAAGTCAGCACCATGCAGTGCAGACACGAACCTACTCAGATGTCTGGGCCCTAGGTGGCCTGGCCTCCAGTCTGGGTGGGATAGGGGTGGGGAGGTTCTGAAGGAGGAGAATTTTCAGCAAAGGGAAAGAAGGAAGCATATGTGAGCTGAAGACATGGCCAGGAGGTGGTGGGAGTCGGGGTGGGGCTGCAGAGGGGCTGGAGGGCTCATGTCAAGGAGTTTGGACTTCATCCTAGGAGCTGCAGAGCGGTTTTGAGCCAGGGACAGCATGTGGGCTGGGGTCAAGGCCACCGGCCAGGCCAGACAGGAACAATACCTCCCCAGGAACAGGATGGGACGGGGCATGGGGGGATCCAGCCTGGACCAGCAGGGATCCTGCCCCAAGCCCTTGGATGTCCCCTGGGCCCCTGTGAGAAAATGCTAGAGCTAGTGGCCTCTAGGCACAGGACTGGACAGAGGAGCTGCAGTGCCCCCCCAGCAGTGACCAGCCCAGATCCTCTGCCCTGGAGTCCGCAGGGTCCTGCGCTTCGCCCTGTGACCTCCTGCCTCCACCAGCCCACTGTAACTGGGGTTCTGCTGCCTGTACTTGCAGTGCAGACTCTACCCGGGTCTATGGTCCTCTGGGCTCCAAGGACAGAGTCTGCATCTGTGCCCTGAGTGGAAGGGGAGAAGGGAGACCCCCCCGCCCCAGGCCTTTGTCCCAGTTAGGACCCCTTGAAGAGGGGAGCCAATCCTGGGCTCACCGTCCTCCTCCACTCCATGGACACTCCATGGTGCAGGAGGAGATGGCCCTGCGTTCCCCAGATCCCTTTCCCCTTCTCCCCTGCAAGGAAGAGTCATCGGGGGAGTCGGGAGCCTGGCTCCGACCCTGGAACCCTGCCCAGCCTCCTCCCTGGGCTGCCCGCAGCCTCCCCTCTCCCAGAGAGCAGCACTCCCCAGTCACAGAGCTAACCAGGTCACGCCCCCACTGAAGGCCTCATGCCCCCGCTGAAGGCCCACGCTCCCATGGCCTTCAGGACAAAGTTTGAGCTGGGCAGGGGACATGCCATGGCCTTGCCCACCTCCCTGCCTCTGCCATCTCTGCTCAATGTCACTTGCTCCAGGAGGTTCCCAGGCCTCCCTCCTTCAGCGCATTCTCCCAAGTAGCAGTGGGCCCTGCATCTCTCAGGGTCAGCCTCTTCCTGCAGACTACGACCTCAGCGACAGAGCAAACCAATGCCGAACAGGGGCTTGGCCAAGCCATAGGCAAGGGGTAGGGAAGGGCTGGTGGGCCTGTGTCTCCATGCCCATAGGATGTCAGAAGAAGCAGTCAGCAGACCCCCACACAGAGGCCACCTCTGGAACGCACCCCCCCCCCCCGCCAACCCCAGCTGTTGTGGCAGTGCAGCATAATGATCAGGAGTTGGGTGCCAGCCGGTCCCTCGCTTGGTGTCACAGGGGCTAAGCCAAGAGGCCAGCCCTGGCTAGACAGGTCTCAGAAGTGCCTGGCAGCCCCTGCTATCCGGGGAGGAACACTGCAAACAGGCCTCTGTAGGCTCAGTAGTATGGCCATTTTTTTTTTTTTTTTTTTTGAGGTGGGGTCTTCTGCTGTCACCCAGCTGGAGTGCAGTGACACAATGAGGGCTCATTGCAGCCTTGACCTGCTGGGCTCAAGCAATTCTCCCGCCTCAGCCTCCCAAGTAGCTGGGACCACAGCTGCATGCCACCATGCCTAATTTTTTTATTTTTTGTAGAGATGGGGTTTCACCATGTTGGCCAAGCTGGTCTTGAACTCCTGACCTCAGGTGATTTGCCCCCCTCAGTCTCCCAAAGTGTTGGGATTACTGGCTTGAGCCACCGCACCCGGCCTGATTTGCATTTTTTCTAAGTCAGCTGAAAGTCTTATTTTTCCACTGGATATAATGTATTGTTATCCTCTATCTGCTTTTAATATTTTCTCTTCACCTTTGGTTTTCAACTGTTGGCTGTGACACGCCTGGGTGTGGTTTTCTTGGTGCTTGCCTTGCCTGGGGTGTCTTGAGCTTCTGCAAAAGTTTTCAGTTCTTATCTCTTCAAATATTTTTCCTGTCTTATTCTACCCATACTTCCCTACTCTAACCCCAATTTCATGTATGTTGCCCAACTTGGTAATATATGAAGGGTCTTACTTTGTTGCCCAGGCTGGAGTGCAGTGGTATGAACACAGCTCACTACAGCCTTGACCTCGCAGGCTCAGGTGATCCTCCTGCCTCAGCCTCCTGAGTAGCTAGGATTACAGGTGTGCAACACCACGCCCAGCTAATTTTTTGTATTTTTTGTAGAGACAGGATTTTGCCATTGTTGCCCAGGCTGGTCTCAAACTCTTGAGCTCAAGCAATCCGTCTGCCTCGGCCTCCCAAAGTGCTAGGATTACAGGCATGAGCCACCTTGCCTGGCTTTTCCTATTTCAGTCAACAAATGTTTCACTTGCCTATTCCAATTCTTCATCAAACCATCACTCTGGGGAGGATGTCTCCGCCACTGTTGGACACTATGTGCTGTAAAATGTGTTCCTTGGTCTGAAGAAATGTGACCTGGCAGAGTCCAAATTGGTACCTTTTTTTTTTTTTTTTTGAGATGAAGTCTCGCTCTTGTCCCCCAGGCTGGAGGGCAATGGATGGCGCGGTCTCGGCTCACTGCAACCTCCACCTCCTGGGTTCAAGCGATTCCCTTGCCTCAGCCTCCCAAGTAGCTGAGATTACAGGCACCTGCCACCATGCCCGGCTAATTTTTATATTTTTAGTAGAGACAGGGTTTCACCATGTTGGCCAGGCTGGTCTCGCACTCCTGACCTCAGGTGATCTGCCCACCTCGGCCTCCTAAAATGCTGGGATTACAGGCGTGAGCCACTGCGCTCAGCTGAGTTCCAGTCCTTTTACTGTGCTGTGAGCATTTGCATCTACCACAGGGAAGCTGAGCCCAGTGTGCAGAGTGACTGTTCCTGCCACGACTTACACTTCCTGGGGCTACAGGCTTCAGTGTGACTTGCCTATCAAGCCTCTCGTTGACAGACAGAACAGTTACTGGTGTTTTGTGCCTCAGAGGGTGCAAGGGGAACATGTCTAGACTCAGTCCATCCCTGCACTGTGGCAACCCCGTATGTCCCTCATATCATGAGGCCTCCTTAAGTGAGCACACCAGAATATCCACTGACTGAATCCAATCACCCCCTGATCCTGGAATGGGGTTCTTCTGATGAACATCAAACGTCCTACTTTAATGTACCCCTCCGACTCCCATAATGATGTCCACAGGCCCATGTGGACCTATTAGTGGGATCACTAATAGGCCAGTTTTCCATTGCCCTTCTGCTGACTGTGCGGGCAGGTTGGCCACTGCCCGTGAGATGTAGCACAAACACCAGTCAATTCAACCTGCTGAGGTGATTTGTTTTTACCTTCTTTGATGGTCTTCCAGATAGGAAGCTGTCCTGTCACCTTGAAAGCCGCCTGTCATCCATAAACCAGGCGGCTCTTGTTGGTCAATAGAGAGCTGTTCATAGGGCACTCACTGCCCATGTGGCCCGTGAAACTCCTTAGGTGGCTCTGAAGTTGCCTGTGGGGGAAGAGGCACCCACTTGGGACGGCCTTCTTGCATTCCCCAGATAGCATGTTTCCAGAAAAATCATTTCCAAATGATGATGGACCCTTCTGGGCACTGCCCTCCTATCAGAGTATTTCCCCAACATCACCCAAGAAATTATAAGTATTTCAGGTTTCAAGGTTATTTTATGTCCTTAAGTCATAGGGGCAATTGGACTTTAATTAAATCCAATAGCAAGTTAGTCAAATGGAAATTTCCTGGTCCAAAATCCCAGTGGTTGCCACTAGGTGGCACTCCGGCTTTTGCCCTCAGGTCCAGTCTGCTCCTCAGCGGGGCTACGGTACAACAAATGAACAACTTGCACAGGCTTGGGCAATCTTACTGGTTTCCATCAAGTACATCCAATCAATATTGGCAGGTGGGGAGATTCACATGCCTTCCGCTTTAGCATGCTAGGTAAGAGAAACACCTCAGCCAGACCCAATATCCACCCCCATAGTACATTCAGGTAAAGGAGCTGCAGTCGCTTTGCATAAAGCCTGCTCAACCCTCACCGTTTCCATTCCATCAGGTATCACATTCCCATATTCTCCCAGTCGAACTCTCGCTCCCATTGGGACTTCACAAATAGATTTTGGAATCACAGAGCTTGGGTTCCACAAAAAGGTGTCCCAGTAAAGTCTCTCCTGCAGCCCCTGACCATTTCACCGGCTCATGTCCACATGGCCTTGGGTCCGCAGTGGGTGTCAGTCATTATCTTGATTAGATTGTGGCACAATTGCCCCAGGTGACTACCTATCAGCTTTCTCCTTGTCATCTTTCCCTCTGGCCTTTTTTTTTTTTCCTGGAGACGGAGTCTCACTCTGTCGCCCAGGCTGGAGCGCAATGGCGCGATCTCAGCTTACTGCAACCTCTGCCTCCTGGGTTCAAGCGATTCTCCTGCCTCAGCCTCCTGAGTAGCTGGGATTACAGGCACCCGCCACCATGCCTGGCTAGTTTGTCTGTTTGTTTGTTTGTTTGCTTTTTAGACAGAGTTTTGCTCTTGTTGCCCAGGCTGGAGTGCAATGGTGTGATCTCAGCTCACTGCAACCTCTGCCTCCTGGGTTCAAGCGGTTCTCCTGCCTCAGCCTCCCAAGTAACTGGGACTACAGGCACGTGCCACCACACCCGGCTAACTTTTTGTATTTTTAGTAGAGACAGGGTTTCACCGTGTTAGCCAGGATGATCTCGATCTCCTGACCTCATGATCCGCCCGCCTCAGCCTCCCAAAGTGCTGGGATTACAGGCGTGTGCCCCCACGCCTGACCATTTTTTTGTATTTTTGGTAGAGATGGGGTTTCACCATGTTGGTCAGCCTGGTCTCGAACTCCTGACCTCAGGTGATCCTCCCAAAGTGCTGGGATTACAGGCCGGCCTCCCTCTAACATTTTAAAATCTTCCAAACTAAGGTGAGTAAATCAGATTTGTTTAGGGCCCTTCAATAGTGGGGGACCAGCAGAAGCTCCCATCTGTCCACCCAAGGACTTCCAAGGGTGTTGGAGATGACCTTTGTTTTGACCCCATCAATGCCTACTTTATTCAGTCCATTTCATTAAGAACCCTTTAAAGATTCCATCCTGCTGGGATGAGTATCTTGACTCTTCCCTTTGTTTTCCCCACTCTCTTGTGAATCATTCTAACCATCTTCACTGTTGTTTCAGCATAATTTTCCCCCTCAAAAGTGGCCCTGGGAATAGCTGTAGCTCAGACCAGCCACAATCCAAGCTTGGCCCAATCTCAGGATCTGCCCTATCACCATCTTTTGCCTTCATTGTTGCTACAGAGAACAATAGGATGGTATATTTAGCTTGTTTCTAGTTACTTTGCATTTCCTTATACGTCCAGTGAACTAACTCCTTGGGAGTTGCATCCATCATTTCTAAAATTCATTATTAATTTTTGCCTCCACTAACTGATCACAGCACAGCTGCATTTCCATACCACAGTGAACTCATGGCCCTCCAGGAATCAAAGGTTCATCATACTCCATCCTCTCATCCAATTCCTAGAGATAGTAACTCACTCACTCACCTGCAAGCGTGCCGTGCCTTTCATATTCATACTAACCAATCCAGAGCCCATACCTTCCAACCACCTCCTTTACTGGGCTCTTACACGCTGCACCACTATCCCCCAGAGACTGGACAACTAGGGACATCCTACCCCAAACCCATTGAAATTATTCAAGCTAGGCAATCCTAGACCTGCTCACTCTGCCTCTCAGGTTCCTTCCTAAGCAAACCACAATAAAGGCTCTTGCCCCACAGTTCCCCTCCCTCCCTCTGCCCCCGACCAACACTGGTGCTTCCCCGTGTGGCCCGTGTTAGTGTGCGGTGCCGCCTGTTTCTAGGGAACTGTGAGTATAAGCTTCTTCCCACCATGGCAGTCATTTCTGTGTCTGTTACATCATATCTAAGGACAACAAATCCAAGGTGTCCTTACAACAACTGGCGCAGTGAGCAGGGTGGTTTGATGCCAGATGGAGATGGTATGTCCTCAAACTGCTCTTGGCTTACTAACTGGATCCACCAGGCAGTGGCCATTGCCTGGAAGGCAGCCCTGGTCATTTGTGCGCCCCCTTGATGGCTGGTGCACTGTGTGGTGTGTTGTGGGTGCTGCTGTGGATTCCCAACCTGAGGGCGGTGCTCGGGAAGCTGAGTCCTCCCGGAGCTGCTGCCCAGGCTAGAGTGTTCAGTGCCTGGGACTCAGGCCACAGGGCACTCGTCTTTCTCCGTGCTGGTGGAGCACCCAGACGCCAGAACAGAACACCTGGAGGTATACGGAAAACTGACCACATCGGTTTCTTGAAAAAGTCCTTCCATGGCCGGGCATGGTGGCTCACGCCTGTAATCCCAGCACTCTGGGAGGCCAAAGCAGGTGGATCACCTAAGGTCGGGAGTTTGATACCAGCCTGAGTAACATGGAGAAACCTCGTCTCTACTAAAAATACAAAATTAGCCGGGTGTGGTGGCACATGCCTGTAATCCCAGCTACTCGGGAGGCTGAGGCAGGAGAATCGCTTGAACCCAGGAGGCGGAGGTTGCAATGAGCCAAGACTGTGCCATTGCACTAAAGCCTAGGCAACAAGAGCAAGACTCCATCTCAAAAAAGAAAAGGAGAGAAAAGGTCCTTCCAAAGACAACAAGAGCAACTACCCTGCTAGCGTCATGGGATGAGTCTAACCCACTGACCAGGCAGCACTGGCAAGCGGTGGGGCCAGCCATGTCGGTCACTTGTATGCAAGTGCTCAGTGTCTGGGATGTTATATGCTCCAGCAGGCACTTGATAAACCACTTCCCCTTTTCCTTCTGGCCTTTGCTGAGTCAAAAGTTTCAGCCTGTTCTCTGGAGTATGGGAAGAGTACTCCACCTGAACGCCTGCATGTGTAGCGTAGGCTGTTCCCACGGTCAGTGTCAGGGTGTCCTCTTCAAGGGATCCGGGCACCCTGCAAATGTTCTTGTTCCAGCCACAAACCTCTCTTCCTTTAGCCAGGTCCTGAAGCTTTCCTCTTTTAGTGTGGGGCTTTCATTATGATTTATTCTTAAGTCCGAATGTTATTTGGTAGTATGTTTTTAGTTTCCAGATACAAAGGATTTTTTCAGTTATCTTTTGGTTGCTGATTTCCATTTATATTCTCCATATTCCTTTTTTTCTTTTCTTTTTTTTTTTTTTTTTTTTTTTTTTTGAGACAGAGCCTTACTCTGTTGCCCAGGCTGGAGTGCAGTGGCACGATCTCAGCTCACTGCAACCTCCGCCTCCCAGGTTCAAGTGATTCTCCTGCCTCAGCCTCCCGAGTAGCTGGGACTACAGGCACGCACCACCATGCCCGTCTAATTTTGTATTTTTTTAATTTTTTTTTTTTTTTCAGACAGAGTCTCGCTCTGTCACCAGGCTAGAGTGCAGTGGCACGATCTCGGCTCACTGCAACCTCTGCCTCCCAGGTTCAAGCCATTCTCCGGCTTCAGCCTCCCAAGTAGCTGGGACTACAGGCACACGCCACCACACCCAGCTAATTTTTTTGTATTTTTAGTAGAGACGGGGTTTCAACATGTTGGCCAAGATGGTCTCGATCTCAACTTCGTGATCCGCCTGCCTCGGCCTCCCAAAGTACTGGGATTACAGGCATGAGCCATCATGCCGGGCCCATTCTCTTTAAAAATCTCCTCTTTATAAATCTCTTTATAAATCTCCATCTCTGTGTTTCCTCCCAAGGTCCTCTGATCTTTGATCTGATCTTCAAATTAGTTGATCTTCAACTAATTTGGTGAATCCATTTTGTTATCAACCCCTATATTGAGTCCTTTATGTCAACTAAAAAGTTGCATATCCGTGTCTCCAGGTGGTTCTAACTGCTTATTCTTCCCTCATGTTTCCAACAGCATGCCTGGTCTCTGAGGAAACACTTCACTCCACAGGCCTATGAGCTTGGCTTCCTCAGTCATATACACACATAATATATATCTCATATACACAGAAATTATATAAAATTGTCTATGTAATTTTTGTTGTTATATTAATTACATATAATTATATACAGTTTTTTATATATGTGTGTGTGTGTGTGTGTGTGTGTGTGTGTATATATATATATATATATATTTTTTTTTTTTTTTTTTTTTTTTTTTTTTTTTTGAGACAGAGTCTCGCTCTGTCACCAGGCTGGAGTGCAGTGGTACAATCTCGGCTCACTGCAACCTCTGCCTCCCAGGTTCAAGTGATTCTCCTGCCTCAGCCTCCCGGGTAGCTGGGATTACAGGCGCGCACCACCAGGCCCGGCTAATTTTTGTATTTTTAGTAGAGAGGGGGTTTCACCATGTTGGCCAGGCTGGTCTCGAACTCCTGACCTCAGGTGATCCACCCACCTCAGCCTCCCAAAGTGCTGGCGTTACAGGTGTGAGCAACTGGCGCCTGGCCTGATAAAATGTTTTGTTACATGAGTTCATTTACATTTATTGATATAATTTATATTTCTGGTATTTTGATCTCAACCCTCTTGTGCAATATATTTCATATTTACTCTTCAATGCTTTACTTTTACAGTGCTTCATTCTCTGTACGATTGTGTTTATTTTTATATTTCTTGAGAATAATGGTAAGAGGGGAAAAAAAGCCAAGATCTCAAATTAACAACCTAACTTAAAAACTTAAGGAACTAGAAAAAGAACTAACTAAACACAAAGATAGCAGAAAAAAAGGAAATAATACAGATTAAAGCAGAGATCAATGAAATAGAGAACAGAGAAACAACAGAGAAAATTAATGAAACCAAAAGTTGGTTATTTGAAAAGATCAACAAAATTGACAAACCTTTGGCTAGATGGACTAGGAAAAGACAAGAAGACTCAAATTACTAAAATCAGAAATGAAAGTAGGAACATTACTACCCATTCTACGCAAATAAAAAGGATTATAAGAGGGTACTACGAACAACTGTATCCCAACAAATTGGATAACCTAGATGACATGGACAAATTGCTAGGAACATAAAACCTACCAAGATGATATCACAAAGAAACAGAAATTCTGAATAGACCCTATGATTATTATGGAGACTGAATCAGTAATCAAATATCTCTTGACAAAGAAAATCCCTGGACCTGACACCTTCACTGGTAAAATTATACCAAACATTTGAAGAATACGAATCCTCAAACTTTTCCAAAAGCTTGAAGGGAAAACTTCCTCATTCTGTGAGGCCAGCATTACCCCAGTACCAAAGCTAGACGAAGGCACTACAAGAAAAGAAACCTACGGGCCAATATTCCTTAATGAACACTGATGCAAAGATCCTCAGCAGGGTATGGTGGCTCACATCTGTAATCTCAGCACTATGGGAGGCTGAGGTGGGCGGATCATTTGAGGTCAGGAGTTCGAAACCATCCTGGCCAACATGGCGAAACCCCATCTCTACTATAAATACAAAAAATTAGCTGGGTGTGGTGGCACATGCCTATAGTCTCAGCTACTCAGGAGGCTGAGGCAGGAGAATCGCTTGAACCCTGGAGGTGGAGGTTGCCAGTGAGCCAAGATCGTGCCACTGCACTCCAACCTGGGTGACAGAGGGAGGCTCCATCTCAAAAAGAAAAAAAAGGCCAGGCACGGTGGTTCACTCCTGTAATCCCAACACTCTGGGAGGCCAAGGCGGGCAGATCACAAGGTCGGGAGTTCAAGGCCAGCCTGACCAACATGGTGAAACCCCATCTCTACTAAAAATACAAAAAAAAAATTAGCCGGGCGTGGTGGCGTGCGCCTGTAATCCCAGCTACACAGGAAGCTGAGGCAGGAGAACTGCTTGAACCCGGGAGGCGGAGCTTGCAGTGAGCCAAGATTGCACCACTGCACTCCAGCCTGGGCGACAGAGCGAGACTCTGTCTCAAAAAATAAAGAAAAAAAAATTTCCAGGCGAGAGTGCAGTAGCATGATCGTAGCTCACTGCAGCCTCAACCTCTCAGGCTCAAGCAATCCTTGTGCCTCGGCCTCCCGAGTTGCACCACCACGCCCAGCTAATTTCTTTTTTTTTGTAGAGACAGGGTCTCACAATGTTGCCCAGGCTGGTCTTGAACTCCTGAGATCAAGCAATCCTACCACTTCAGCCTCCCAAAGTGCTAGGATTACAGACATGAGCCACCGCACCCAGCCTCTTAGTCTGTTTTCTGAATACCTGAAACTGAGTTATTTATAAAGAAAAGGAATATCTCGCAATTCTGGAGGCTGGGAAGTCCAAGGTCGAGGGGCTGCATGTGGTGAGGTCTTGCTGGTGGGGACTCTGCAGAGTCTGGAGCTGGTACAGGGCATCACAGGGTGGGGGCTGAGCGTGCTCACATGCTAGTTCAGGTCTCTCTTCCTCTTCTCATGAAGCCACTGGTTCTCCTCCCATGATAACCCATTAAGCGACTAACCCCTGAAGTCATTAATCCATGAGTGGATTAATCTCTTGAGGGCAAAGCCCTCATGATCCAGTCACCTCTTAAAGCCTCCCCTCTCAGTACTGCCACACTGGAGATGAAGTTTCAACATGAGTTTTGGAGGGGGCAGACAAACCACGGCCACCTCGAAACCATCTATAGGAGAGTTTCTAAAGGAGATATACCTCAAAATCAGAAAGTGCAAAAGACATGGGATATAAGAATCGGAGAGTTAAGAGACCAGGAAAGCAGGAGATTGCACTTTTTTTTTTTTTAATTAACAGCCATTTGGAACCAAAATTCCAAGTAAATTCTGTTGATTTCTTGTTCTACCCCTTCAGGATGATGGTGAGGACAGGCTACATATAATAGCCCCTACAGCATACTAAGAGAATCCAGGTCCAGGATTCCAGATTTCTGGAGATTTCTACCAAGTAGTGGTGCCCAAGATCAGCTGTGATGATGAGGATGTGCCATTGCATGGCACGTGGCCCAGAGTCACCAGTTTATTACATATTGGTCATCTTCACTACCTGACTTCACACAAGTCAATCCAGGGTTTGCCTAGTTCCCTCCTAACGCCTTCTCTCTCCACAAGATCCGCTCCTCCTATGCTGACTGATTTGTTGGCCAGATGCAATGGCTCACACCTATAATCCTTGCAATTTGGGAGGCCGAGGCGGGAGGATTGCTTGAGCTCAGGAGTTCACGACCAGCCTGGGCAACATGGTGAAACCCTGTCTCTACTAAAAATACAAAAATTAGCCAGGCATGGTGGCATATGACTGTAATCCCAGCTTCTCAGGAGGCTGAGATTGCAGTGAGGTGAGATTGCACCACTGCACTCGAGACTAGGCAACAGAGTAAGACTCATCTCAAAAAACAAAACAAAACAAAATACCAAAAATACCGCCAAAAACTAGCTGGGCATGGTGGTGTGCACCTGTAGTCCCAGCTATTCCCAGCTATTCAGGAGGCTGAGGTGGAAGGATCACTTGAACCCAGCAGCCAGAGGTTGCAGTGAGTCAAGACGGCACCACTACACACCAGCCTGGGTGACAGAGCCAGACCCTGTCTCTAAATAAATAAATAACCTGTGATGTTTCTCCTCAATTTGCTAACTTAACCATTTAATGCTTCTACAGACTAGATTCTCCCTCTGATCACAACTTCCCACTTGTATGAGTTAGGATTAGGTTTGGCTGTGAGCAAAAGAAAACCTGCAACAATGCATACACAGTGGCTGATTTCTCTCCCATGTAAATGCTGTCCCCAATGCCAGTGGGCCCAGCGACAGTGGAGGTCCACTCCCCAGATGGCTGTGTGCCCAGCAATCTGCTGCCTGTGGGTGCATTTGCAAGGGTCTACAAAAATAAGTAATTCAGAATCAATGTTGTTGGAACTTTAAATTACTTTGAGCCTTAAAGGAATGTGATTATGGAGGCTGAGTCATGTGGTAGGCAGCTGTAACCTAGGCAGCTGTAACCTTTGTTCCTCTGATTATAGATTAGCCTTTTCTTTACCTACATTGTTTTGTAAAATGTTGCAAAAGACTAGGGCTCCAGAAAAGATGCTTTTCCTCTTCAACTTGATCTTCATTATAGATTAACTTTCCTCTTAACTACTTCTATGACCTCATGACTATCACACTGTCTAAGATGGAATGTTTAAATATACACTTTTAATTTGGAAAAGGAGCCTGGATCAGAACACGTGGAAAAAGTTAATTTAAAATAAGAAAAGAGGCCAGGTGCAGTTGCTCACGCTGGTAATTGCACCACTTTGGGAGGCCGAGGTGAGTGCATCACGAGATCAGGGGTTTGAGACCATCCTGGCCAACATGGTGAAACCCCGTCTCTACTAAAAATACAAAAATTAGCCGGGTGTGGTGGCACGCACCTGTAGTCCCAGCTACTTGGGAGGCTGAGGCAGGAGAATCACTTGAACACAGGAGGCAGAGGTTGCAGTGAACTTAGACTGAGCCACTGCACTCCAGCCTGGGCGACAGAGCAAGACTCTGTCTCGAAAAAAAAAAAAAAAGAAAGAAAGAAAGGAAAGAAAGAAAGGAAAGAAAGGAAAGAAAGGAAAGAAAGGAAGAAAGAAAGAAAGAAAGAAAGAAAGAAAGAAAGAAAGAAAGAAAGAAAGAAAGAGAAAGAAAGAAAGAAAGAAAGAAAGAAAGAAAGAAAGAAAGAAAGAAAGAAAGAAAGAAAGAAAGAAAAGAAAGAAAGAAAGAAAGAAAGAAAGAAAGAAAAAGGCTGGACACAGCCACTCATGCCTGTAATCCCTGCACTTCAGGAGGATTGCTTGAACCTGGGCAACACAGTGAGACCCTGTTTCTACAGAAGTTTAAAAACTTAGGCCAGGCATGGTAGCTCGTGCCTGTAATCCCAGCACTTTGGGAGGCCGAGGCAGGCAGATCACCTGAGGTTGGGAGTTCGAGACCAGCCTGACCAACACGGAGAAACCCCGTCTCAACTAAAAATACAAAAAATTAGCCGATCCTGGTGGTGCATGCCTGTAATCCCAGCTACTCGGGAGGCTGAGGCAGAAGAATTGCTTGAACCCAGGAGGTGGAGGTTGCAGTGAGCTAAGATCAGGTCACTGCACTCCAGCCCAGGTGACAGAGCAAGACTCCGTCTTGAAAAACAAAAAAAACAAAACAAAAAACAGAAAATTTGGGCCGGGCGCAGTAACTCATGCCTGTAATCCCAGCACTTTAGGAGGCCAAGGCGGGTGGATCGCTTGAGCCCAGGAGTTCCAAGATCAACCTGGGCAGCATGGCAAGACCCCATTTCTATTAAAAAAAAAAAAAGTAAGAAAAGAAAAAACTGGAGCTATGGAGACATACAGAGGAAAGATGATCTGAAGATGGCCACGTTATGATGGAATCGGAGACTGGAGTGGTGTGTCTACGAGCCAAGGAACTCCCACGTCTGCTGAGAATGGCCAGAAGCCGGGAACAGGAAGGGAAGGGCTCTCCTCTACAGCCATCAGAGACAGCGCAGCTCTGCCAACACCCTGACTTGAGACTTCCGGCCTCTAGAACTGAGAGCCAATCACTTTCTGTTGTTCAAGCCCCTCAGTTTGTGGTCCTTTATGGCAGCCCTAGGAAACCAATGTAAGCACTATGTAACATACTTATTTCACCCGATCTCTCCACTAGACTATGAGCTCCATGGGGACAGAGATCTTTGTCCCTTTTGTCCTCTGTTGTATCCCCAGTGCCTAATGCCGTGTGTGGCACAGAATGGACTGTGACCATCAGCGGCAGTCTGGAGCAGACCTATACATGTCAGAAAACTCACCACACGGAGGGGATAAAGGCAGGGCTGCTTTTAGCCACAAAAGAACAGAAAACATGACTCACAGTAGTTTGAACAAATAGGCATTTTTTTTTTTAACATAAAACCCCTGCAGCTGGCAGTCCGGGCTGGGCAGCACCTCAGCCACGCCAAGGACTCTCCCTCCACCAGGCTCCGGGTGCTCCACTCAGCCCTTGTGGTCACACGGGGGGTTCTGCATGCCAGGGGTCCCTTCCACATTCCAGACAGGAAGACGGGAGCGGGCCCGGCCACACCAGCTGCTGTTAGATCTCCTCACCTGGGGAAACCCAGAGGAACTGGAGGCCCTCGTCGGCAGGCTCGGGCATCTGACCAGCCGCAGTGGGCACACGGCCGCCCTAGCTGGAAGGAGCCGGGAGCTCAGCCAAGTATATAGCCTTCCAGCCCGAGAGGGGAGGAAGCTGAGGGGCAGGGTTAGGAGCAGATGTGGCGTGGCCACCTGAGTGTGCGCCTCAGAGGGTGCAGAAGGACCCAGGGGTCGGTAAATGGTGCTGGAACTGGCTGGAGACAATTGGAAAAATGGATTCCCTACATCACACCCTACGCCAGCTTAACTCCACTTCGATTAAATGCCAAATTTGAAAAGCAAAATTTTAAAGCTTTTAAGCAAAAACAAAATCTTTAGAATAGATTATGAAATCACACTAAATTATAGGCTGTATATCAAATGACGTCATTGAAAAGCAAAAGCCCCCAGGCACACTGGAAGGTATGCGCCAAGGGCATATCACCAGAGGAGCCCCGCACAGGCACTCCTACACGGCCGGAAGAAAGGGCCCGGACTAAACCACCACACAGAAACACAGATGCCAATAAACGCACACACATCCCAACATGGCTAGCAGAGAAACAAACGAAAGCTTTTGCATCCACCTGTCAAAAATGGAAAGCTCTGACTATATCAGGTGCTGAGGGACAGAGGGGATCTCGGCAGGTGCCACCCCACTGTGGTCACGGCCCGATTTGGAGAGCAGCGAGGCACCCTCTAGTAAAACTGAAAATGGGCTGGGTGCGGTGGCTCACGCCTGTAATCCCAGCAGTTTGGGAAGCTGAGACGGGTGGATCACTTGAGGTCAGGAGTTCGAGACCAGCCTGGCCAACGTGATGAAACCCTTTCTCTACTAAAAATACAAAAATTAGCCAGGCATGGTGGTGCACACCTGTAGTCCCAGCTACTCGGGAGGCTGAGGCAGGAGAATCGCTTGAACCCAGGAAGCAGAGGTTGCAGTGAGCCAAGACTGTGCCACTGCACTCCAGCCTGGGCAACAGAGTTTAAGACTCTGTCTCAAAAATAAATAAATAAATAAATAAATAAATAAGACACATCCAGGAGTGCTTAGAGCAGTATCATGTAGCAGAGCAAAAGCCCTAAACCACCTCCAATCAGCAGCAGAATGGAGAAACTGGAGTCTGTTCATACCTCACAGTGAGAAACACCCATCTTGAGCCACATGTAATCCAAAGACTCACCAACCATGCTGAATTGCAAAAGTTGAGGAATACGTCCATGTACCACTTAGTCTTCAGAAATTCAAAACAATACAATGTATGTAGAGATACATATCCCTGTGGTAAAAATTTTCAGACAGACACAAAAAGTCAGATCCTGCAGCAATCACCTTTGGCAGGAGGAGACAGAGGGATCCAAGTGCGTCCGTGATATTTCTCACGTCGCACGGCAGGTCCATAGCCACACATTCACGTTTAACTTTTGTATGATGAAATACCTCAAATTTTTAGACACACATGGCAAAAACATAGACTATGGCATCACGGTCCTGCGTGTGTGAAATGCGGATGTCAGAATACACATCGATCGTTCTAGGGAAGCACCTCTAGGTATGAATTTTGAAACAATCAACTTTTCTTAGGTACAACAAGGCTATGTTCCAATGGAAAGGGGTGCCCACCGTGACAGCCAAGTAGAGACCGGCACGATCACTTTAACCCCTGCTGCCACAGCATGGGACCTTTAACACCTGCTGCCACAGCGTGGGACCTTTAACACCTGCTGCCACAGCGTGGGACCTTTAACACCTGCTGCCACAGCATGGGCCCTAACTCCGTCTTGTGCTCAAGCTTGGGTACCTGTTAAAACCACTGCAGGGGCTTTTGAAGCCACCCTTGCCCCAGCTCCACCTGACACACTCAGCCAGAACTGGAGAAGAAGGCAGGCTCTTCTCAGTTCTCCAGGGAACTCCAATACACAGCCAAGGCTGAGAACCATCTAGTATGGGACACTAATTGGCCTAGTAATTCAGGAATTCGGTGAAGACCAATTTAGAGCCAAAAATTAAAGGTGAAGCCTGGTGAGCGTGGTGCCGATGACGTGATTGTAGCAGCCGTGGAGAGCTCGTCTCTGGGCCTCGGCTCTACACACCTGGCCTAAAGCCCTCCAGCACCTGACAGGTGAGCGTCGTGGATGAAATGAGTTATGTGCCTCAATCGCTCCGAAGCAGGGCCTGTCATAAACACACGATCTGCTACCTTTTCAAGGAAAGGAACTGCTTTGGGAAAAGTGTTAATAAAATACTTCAATAAGGAGGATCATGATTACTCTTCAGGCTTCACGAACAGGCTCCCAAACCCGTGAAAGCAGCACAAACTCGAACCTCTCAGTCACTGTGTGGAATCTCTAGACGTCTAACCTGTTGAAGGAGGAAACACAGAGGACACGAGAGGCGGGTGACAGTGGACCAGTGAAGAGCTCTGGAGAATGAGAGACAGAGGGTAAAGTCCTTACTCTCACTCATGTCTCTCTATATTTTTTGCAATGATAATCTGTTTGATAGTGTTAATTACCAAAAGCCTGGCTGCTGAAAGGAGGGACGGCTGGCTTCTAAGGTGGGAGATTCAAATGCAACTGAACGGGGAGTGGGAAGGGGACGAGGAAGACAAGATCATCGGCTCAGCAAGGTGTCCAAGGAGGGCTAGAGTTGGGATCAGAGCCAGAGGGGTGGCTTGGGACGGGACGGGACATGCTGCTCCACGGCGCGAGGTGGAGGCAGCCACAGCTGGGGGCGACGATTATGGAAGCTGCCGGGGGTGGTGCCATGCCTTCAGCTGCTGCCTTTCCTCCACTCCCCGTTATCATCTTTGTCCCCTGAGGTGCCCCAAAGGGACTGCCACAACCACCCCCACCATCCTCCAGCCCCTTGCACATCATCCCAGAGCCCCCCGGAGTTCCCCGTCAGTGTACCCGCCTGCCCAGCCAAGCCTCCACGTGGTGCCCCTTACCACCCATCCTTTTACCCAGAGGCCCAGAGCATGTGGGAGACAGCACAGGGCCCCATCCCCAAAACATCACTTGCCAGGTGACACTGGGCAAGCTGTACTTGACCTCTGAGAGCCGTGTGTCCCCAGCTGGGAAACAGGGCAACCCATCCCATCCTCCGGGACTCTGCAGGTCAGAGCAGACGAGCTGAAAGCTCTAAAGCACTGGCGGGCTGGAAGTCATTAGAAGAGAAAGCAAAGCAAGCCCCTCAGGACAGTCACACGGCTGAGGTTGGGTATTTCACTTTATTTAGCAAACGGTCACACTCGGCCCCACCACACCGCGCCTGCAGCCTCACTTGAGCATCTGTCTCAGGAAGCAGCTCAGGGTGAACAGGAAGGCCTGGGTTTCCCAGTTCAGGCCTTATCCGTCGCCACACGTGCCACACACCACAAAACAAAATCACTTCCCCACGTCCTCAGGAGCCCACCCCAGTGTGGTCCGGGGGACCCTCCAGTGTTCAACAGCTGCCTGCAGGGGCCACAGCCCATCTGTAGACACAGACCCCTGCTCCTGAGACACCAGCCCCAGGAGAGCCTCCGTCTCCAGCTGTGGGGGGTGCCAGACCCTAAGCCTCGGCTCTGCCACCTGTCCCTGCTGGGCAAGAAGCAAAATGTATGAAAATACTTTAATCATTTATTTGAAACAGTTAAGAAATAAGGTCATCTTGTTGTTCTTTTATAATCCCGGTAAAAAAAAAAGTTCACATTGGCTCCTGGGCCCAGGGACAGGCCCCGCCGGAGGCGCCACTCAGTAGAAGCGCTTGTTCCGCTCCTGCCGCTTCTGGAACACCACGGCCCCCACCACGGCGCAGACAACGATGCCCAGGAGAGCGCACAGCAGCAGCAGGAACACCCGCCACCCCGTCAGGGGCCCGCTGCGGAAGTTCCCCGTGGGGTCGTCCACGTTGTCTGGGGGAGAAGAAACGGGGGAGCTGAAACGGCAGCACGGGCCGGGGATCAGGGGGCTGCAGGAGGGCAGTGGGGATGGAACAGGACAGCCGGCCACGGTGGGCAGGCCGGTCGTACTCACCCCCCTCACCGGGGAGGGGCAGAGGTCAGGTGAAGCCCATCCCAGCCAGCTCTGCAGTCCCCAGGGCAGGGTGGGGCAGAGAGAGGACCAAGCCCACAGGGACCCGGGACCCCAGCGACAAGCCTGGGCTGCCTTCTGCTGCAGGAAGCCAGTTAAAACCAGACTCCTGGGCTCCTCTGAGTCCAACTCTGGATAAGGGGAGGCCCAGGAGTCTACATATCCAAGCCCCACCCCCACGCTGTGGTCTGAGGGCCCTTTCTGGAGCAGCGCGGCCCTGGTCACAGGCTCTCCCAGCCCACAGCTGGATGCTCTCGGCAGCCCCCCAGGAGGGTCTCCCAGGACCTGAGTCCCACACTCCACCCCAGCCCACAGCCTCTCTCCTCCACACAAGGTTCCCACAGGTCCTGCCCATCCTGGGATGGGGCCCACTGGTACGCTCCCTTGTACAGGCGGAGAGAAGACACTGACTTTCCCAAGCTCTCCAGGCTGTGGGTGGAGGAGCTGGGGTCTGGCTGGGCCCTGTTTCTGCCACTCTGCCTCCCTCCCTGACTGCGGCCCCCCCGACTCCACACTGTACAGTCTCCTCAGGCGTCCCCACACCCAGGCCTCGGGCCCAGGCCCTGCCTTTCAGCGACGTGCATGCCACCCTCTTGCCAGCCACAAGCCAACCTCCATCCTCCCTTCCTGCACAAGCTGCCACCAGCAGGCCTGCTGACCACTCTCGCCCCAGCCTCTGCTCTGCACACCGACAGCAGCGGCCACTGACCGAACGCGGAGGTCCCTAGGGATGGTGCTTCCCCAGAAAGCCACTCAGCCTCAGGGCTCTCACAGCTCCCTCTGTCTCCCTGTCTGCCGCAGACCCTAGAATGAGCCCCAGGGGCAGGGCCTGCCTGATCTCGTGTCTCCAGCACCCAGCCCATGGCTAGGCACAGAGGGCAGCTTTGGTCACATCTGAAGGAACAAATGGATTGAATCTAAAAACGAGTTCATCCTGCCTTGCCAGCTGCACGGGATGCTGGGTGGGCAAGGCAGGTGCCACCTCTGCAAACACCCAGCAGCTGGCAGCCTTCTGACCAAAGGTTGCAGCAAGGTTTGTGTGGTCCCCAAAACATTTCAAAATAATCTGAATCTTTAAAAAGTGAACTGTCACATAAAACACTGGATCTTGGCTTCTCCTGAAAAGCAGAAACACGCGGCCAAACTGGCCCACACGGCATGGGGACCCAGGGCTGGGCTACGACAGAGCCCGCGCCGTGCACTTCTGTCACTGGCTGGACCCCCAGGCACACATCTGTGGCTCTTAGGGTGGACTTCTCCACACACAGATGCCTCATTCCTCCAACCACAACGTTCACTCTGTGAGGAAAGGGGTAGCTAATTAGTGCCATGGGAAGAACCCAGGCTTCGGGTTTTGTAGAAACCCAATTTCCAATCTTGCTCTCTCTCTCCTTCTAGCTAAGGAATCCACCCCCTTGACCAGCAGCACGACTTCTTCCAGGTGGCTCACAGAAGGGACAGGTGGGCCAACATACCCAGCCCCCTGGCTCTGCTGGCCACTGCCCCAGCACCTAGTGAGGGAGGATGCTGGCCCACCACTCACACGTTTGTTGATCAGCCACTGCTTGCTGCCACAGCACTCACGTGACTAGGATGTCCTCAGGGACTGACTCTCTGCAGACTTCTCTTCCGCCTCATTCATTTACTCAAAAACTTGCCAGAGCTGACACGATCCAAGCCCAATACTCTAGGAGCTCGGACAGGGCCAGCCAGTGCCGCTTGCCAGGACCGGGCTGATCCAAGAGCCCAGACCACAACCACCACAACCACGACTGGACCACAAGACCCGCCAGGCTGGCTTCACCCCATTCTGGGTCAGGCCGCCCAGGCCCAGGCAGGGCGGGGCTGTGCACACGCACCTTTGGGCGACTTGAGGAAGTTGACGCTGGGCTCGATCTTGGTCCAGTCGATGCTCTCCTCGTCGGGCGTGTGCTCCACCATCAGCTGGAACAGCTTCATGGAGATGATGTCATGATTGTCTGCAGGACCAAGAATAAACCTGTGACAGCCTACAGGCCAGCCGCAGGGCACGTGGCCCAAGACCCTCCCACAAGGAAAGCTGCTGCTGCAGCCAGTAAACCTGCCAGGCCCCTGGGGAGAGCACTGCCCAGCCGGCTAGGGCCTGTTTTCTTCCCAGCTCCCTCCAGTCACCAGCAATAAAAAAGAGAGGAGGCAGAGTGGAGAGAAAACAGTAAGGGCTTTACAAGCAGAATCATCTGGGTCTAAATCCTGGGGTCTGCCGCCCTCTTTGAGGCTCATGTTCCGCACATGTAGAGGAGTGATGATCTCCATCTGTGTGGTTGCCATGGCAAGTACATGAGAAGGGTCTACACCACACAGAAGATGGCCTGCCTGCAGAATAAGTGCTCAAAAACAGACCCGGGAAAGACCAACAGTCGCTGTGTGACTGGCTGAGAAGGCTGAGGTCCCAAGGGCAGGAGCCACCAGACATTCTTGCCACAGAGACCCACATACAGGCTGCAGGGGAACAACTCGGCAACCAGCTAAGGGCCTGAGCCTAACGCAGGTCAGCAGCTGTGCCTGAGGAGACTGGGGAAAGGCTCTGTCCAATGGCATGCACAGGGAAGAGCCCTGGCTTGACGCTGATGGATCACCCAATTGTAGAGATGAGGAGGCTGAGGCTCAAAGCCGACACGTGGGTCCTGGTCAGCCTGGGACTGGAATCTGAGGAAAGGCCTTGTTGAAGGGAGCAGGAATCTCTGGAGCCAAGGGGGGACCTAATGAGCAAGAGCTCGGCCAGGCACACAGTGTGAGAGCCGAGCATGCACAGCCCTTGGAGACGGCGAGCGGCCCTGCAGGACAAGGACCGGCCCTGGAGTCAGGCCCCAGTTCCCATCTGGGCTCTGCTGCTTCCTGCTCGTATCTTAGGAAAAATCCTTTCAGTTTTCAAACTCCCAATGGTTGAGTAAAAAGGGAACGAGATGGCCATCTGCCTAAAAATACATCAGGTGACATCACCCGTAAGGTGCCTGGCACTGATGACCCCTGACCAGTGGTCAGACACGGCTCCCCTCATGGTGCCTCCTCCACTCTGTGCTGGGCTCTCCCAACAGCTGTGAGAGCTGCCACCGGCCACAGCACTGGTGCTGCTCTGCTCCTATCAAGAACCCTCCAAAGACAAGGGCTGAAACAGTGTGATGAAGTTCCAGGCAACCCGGGGCAGGAGGGAAACCAGCCAGGCGCGAGCTGGAAATGATGAAAGCTGGTTGGCAGGAAGGGTGCTTACCAGACCTCTCTCCTCTGCTGGGTATGTGACTGAAAAACCCCCAAACAATGGATGTTCTGGGGTCTGAGCGGACCCAAGCACTTCCATGCTGAGAGAGGAGGCTCCTGGGCAGTGGGCAGACTACAGGCCCTGGAATGGGTCATCCTGAGGATAAACCGCCCATGTCAGGTCCCCCGTGTCACGTGCCAGTTCTGGTCAGGAGCTGGCCCTGGGCCTGGCACCTGCTCAGGGCCCCAAAGAGAAACCGAGAACCACAGCCAAGGGCCACCACGGCCTGGTGACCAGTGAGGCCTGAGCAGGTTAGAGGCACCCCAGTGCTCGCTGAGCACCTGCCCTGGGCCAAACAGCCATTTATAGAGCTTACAATTGAGCAGGAGGGCCAGAGACAATAAAATTAATTACTCGGTAGACTCAAAGATGGTAAATATTATGAAGAAAAATAAAGCCAGCAAAGATGCTGGGGAGTGGGCTGGGGACACAGGAGGGGGCACGACATTCCACGAGGGCATCAGGGAAGGCCGCACTGAGGAGGTAACATCTGAGCAAGGCCCTAGGAGACAAGGGTGAAACAGCCGGGGCAGGAGGGCACAGGCGCATCCAGGCAGCAGCTGGAAGCCACAGTAGGCAGGGGGAGCAGTGAGCAGGGAGCCAGAGGTGGCAGGGCTGGCACAGAGGCCCTGGCGCCCCCTGCAGAGCTCTGCGCAGAGCAGCAGGAGGCCTCACACGGGCTGAAGGCGATTACTGAAGGCGATTACACGGCTGCTGTGCTCACGAGAGACTGTTGGGGGCTGGTGAAGGAGGGGACCACTTGGGAGACTCCTGTGAGAGACACTGGTGGCCTGAAGCCGCCAGGTAGTCAGGGAGGGGAGGGAAGTGGTGAGACGTGCTGTGAAAATAAAGCCACAGGGACTGTTGATGGACCAGAGGTGCCATGTGAGAGAAAGAAGGGTCCGGAAAGACAGCAAGCAAATAGAGGGGCACAGGTGCCACTGACATCCCGATGGGCAAGATGTGGCCTCAGCTGTGGGCACAAGGGCTGAGCAGGTCCAGAGCGGTCTGGGCTGGAGATAAATCTGGGAATCTACATTGCCCAAATCTAACTGACCCGCTGCCTCCTGTTGATGGGGAAGGTTGCCAAGGGACCGTTCAAGGCCTGAGGCCCGGACAGGCCATTTACAGAAGAAAGGAGGAGGAGGAACACAGCCAGGTGAGCTCAGAAACCACAGGAACTGAGGCCCGGACAGGCCATTTACAGAAGAAAGGAGGAGGAGGAACACAGCCAGGTGAGCCCAGAAACCACAGGAACTGAGGCCCGGACAGGCCATTTACAGAAGAAAGGAGGAGGAGGAACACAGCCAGGTGAGCTCAGAAACCACATGAAGGCAGGCAATCAACTGCATGGAAAGCTCCCAGTCCCTCAGGGTGAGCTGGGCTGGGAACCAACGCCTGGCCCGGCCCACTCACCAGACAGGTCGCCGGTGCCGGCGGAGGCCCCGAAGTAGTAGCCGGTGGGCAGGCGCACTCCCGTGATGTCAATGCAGTTCTTCCACTCGTTCTTGTCCTCCAGGTCGGTCATCACCTGCAGGGCCCAGCACGCTAAGCACCTCGCAGGACAGCAGCCTGCCCTCCTGAGCCTCTGTGGGACCAGCACAGGGCCACCAGCTGCCACCCCCACCGCCTAGCCTGCTCACCGTCAGACGGCCCCGGGAGTAGCGCACAGCCAGGAAGGTGTCGTGATCGCGGTTGCGGAAGTCAGCCGTGCAGCCCGCCAGCTCGGTCCAGCGCCCATCCTTGCTGTGGTCGTAGGACAGGGAGCCATTGTTCACCATCACCGAGATGTACGGGAACACGCGCTGGGACCAAGACATCGGTTACTCCACAAGCAGCCCAGCCTGTGGGGCGAGCAGGGGCACCCACCACCCCAATCCCTGGAGGCTCCTCTTGTGCTGGGACCATGGAAGTCCCAGGGCCCCCTCCTCTAGCCGACTGCCCAGTCCTTCCTTTCCTGCTCAGCAGGATAGAGCAGGGGCCTACCTCAGTGGTCTCATCATTGGGGTAGGTGTCCAGGAAGATGGCTAAGCCGTGGAAGTTATCTTTGCTTCCAAACACAGGCCCTAGAATTATAAGCAGATGCTCTCAGAATGGGAGAAACAGGAGCCGTCCCATGGGTACCTAAAAGGCAAGCAATGCCAACATGGGTGGGGGCAAGAGAGCCCAACCCACTGGCCATTCACCGAGAGAGAAGGGATCGTGAAAGGAGAAAGCTGAGGCTTTCTCCTCAGAAGTGGGGGGTCTAGGCATATGACACAGAGGACTCAAGTTTGAAGGCTGAACTGTGAGGGGACTGAGGCAGATGTCAGGTGTCAAGGGGGTACCTGGCCTACAAAAAACAGTGAGCCACAGGACAGCCCTACCCAGGAGGCTCTACCCTCTATACTAGGGGCAGCAAACATTCTGTGAAGAGCCACCAAGGAAACACCTCAGGGTCTGTGGGCCACATGCAGTCACAGCCACACAGTCTTCATGTTTTGGCTTTTTTACAACAATAACTGTTTAAAATGGTAAAACCAGGCCAATGAGGGTGTAGGGTTGAGCTGCAGGACCCAGCTGCTCCTCTCCCCTCAGTGACCTTCCTTCCAGAGCCAGGCTCCTTCCGGAGGCGCAGGACTTTATCCACGGGAGGCAGCACTTTCCTAACAGGAGAGGAGACGCTGGTCCCCACGAGCCACAGGCAGCCCCACCCCACCTCCCTAGGGGGCCAGCAGCCATGCCCGTGCCCACCCCCACAGGGCCCAGCTGAGCGAACACCAGCCCACCTGGCACGAGGCGGTCCCGGGTGTACCACAAGGCGATGCCGTCTCCATGGAGGTTCTTCTTCCCTGTGCCGTGGACTTTGAAGTGGACGTGCATTTCCCAGTCTTTGAGGAAGCACGGCTGGAGGGAGAGCAGAATGGGCTGCTCAGAGCTCCCCAGGGCCTTCCAGCAAGCTGGAGGCAACCCCAGCACGGCCCCTGCCCCACAGACCTCTCTTCTCTCCCCAGCTAAGACTGGGCACTCCTTGGCACAGGGCCACAAGTGCCACTGACCACAGACCCCTAAATGTTCTGGCCGTGAAGGGAAGAGACTGTTGGGCACCAGGTGAGGTGGGGGAGGCCAGTGTTCCAAGGCTGCCTGAGGCCCAGACCCCGCCAGCAGACCTCAGGCTGCTCCTGAGTAGGTTTAGGTGGCTGCCACACTGTTCACCCTCATTACCAGCCAAACCCACCAGCCATTTCCTCTCCATCCACTGCTCTTGCCCTGGAACCTTCTGCAGACGTTACAACTCCTATTTGAGCAAAGTATTTTACAGGAAAACAAATTCAGAGGTGTAACAACTTGTCCAGAGCAGCTCAGTGGACTGTCTGGACTCACGCGCAGGGCTTTCTGACTCCGAGAGCTCTGCTCAGCGGACTGTCTGGATTCACATGCAGGGTTTTCTGACTCCGAGAGCTCTGCTCTGCCTTCAGTACTTCCCGCGGCCTGCAGGCCTTTCACATAAATTGCACCAGCCCCTTTCTGGTCACCCACATCCACTGCCACATCCACCCTGCTAACCAACCTTCCCAAGTGAGGAAAATCAGGCCGGGTCAGTGCTGCTGGCCTCAAGCCCAGGTCTGGCTGACTCCAAAACCCAGCCCTTCACCAGTTCACCTCCCCAGCCCAGCCTAAGTGTGGTACCAGCGCTGGGGATGAGAGCTGGTCAGGGTCGTGCTCTGGGACTCAAGGGCACCACCATGTGAGCTGGGGCAGGGATGGGCACCGCCTACGCCAAGGGAGAAAGCCTTGCCTTAGGCATCAGGAAGTCGCTTGTGAAAACTAAGGTGTCAACACACACGGTGACAAGAATCCACTTTCAGGAAGTCTGCAGATGGGTATGTAAGCAAGTGATTAAACAAAGACCCATCACAAAGGCAAACCCAAACAGGATGTTGACCTGTCAGACTGGCAACTGTGAAAAAGACCATTAACGTCCAATGCAGATGAGCATGAAGAGAAATGAATACAGGAGTAAAGGAACATGAACCAGTATTAATGATGGGTAATTCTGGGAGGGGGATTATGGCGACTGTTTACCATGTTTGAATAATGTATAATAAACATATTACTTCTGTGATCACAGAAAAATAAAAAACACTGTACCCCAATTTGAGCAATATGCTTCATGCATTCATTGATGCCACAGACTCACTGCTCCCACTCTGGGCACCAGGAACCCAGATAACAAAACCTAGGCCGAGTCCCCGAGAGCACAAAAGAATGGAAGATATAGAATTGTGGGTAAGAGACAGAGGAAACAGTGAGAGAGGCTAAGACTCATATAATTGGGATTCCCGAGTAAGATGTGAGAAATGAAGGCAAAGGAATATTTAAAGACGTCTAAGCACTTACTAAAACTGATTCAAAGACACGCCACAAACTTGAAAAGTCCTACAAACCAAAGGAGATGACTAAAAAGAAAACCATATTTAGGCACAAAAAAAGAAGGGAGGGATAGAGGAAACAGCAACAACAACAAAAAAGTTTTTTTTAACATGAAACTATTTTTTTCTAATTTTTTTCCCCGTGGTACAGCCCCAGGCAATCCTGAGAACGTGTGCCACAAAAGCATTTTTTCTTTCTTTTCAATTTCAACTTTTATTTTAGATACAGGGGCTACATGTGCAGGTTACATGGGTATACTGCACCCAGGCAGGGAGAACAGTACCCAATAGGTAGTTTTTCAACCCACGTCCTCCCCCATCTAGTCTGGAGTGTCTATTGTTCTCCTTAAAAACAGAGAATCTTGGCCGGGTGCAGTGGCTCACGCCTGTAATCTCAGCACTTTGGGAGGCTGAGGCAGGTGGATCACTTGAGGTTGAGGCCAGCCTGGCCAACATGGTGAAACCCCGTCTCTACTAAAAATACAAAAATTAGCCAGGCGTGGTGGTACATGCCTGTAATTCCAGCTACTTGGGAGGCTGAGGCGGGAGAACTGCTTGAATCTGGGAGGTGGAGGTTGCAGTGAGCCGAGATTGTGCCACTGCATTCCAGCCTGGGCAACAGAGTGAGACTCTTTCTCAAAAAAAATCAGACTCACTCTGTCGCCCAGGCTGGAGTGCAGTGGCACAATCTCTGCTCACTGCGAGCTCTGCCTCCCGGGTTCACGCCATTCTCCTGCCTCAGCCTCCCCAGTAGTTGGGACTACAGGCGCCCGCCACCACACCCGGCTAATTTTTTTGTATTTTTAGTAGAGACAGGGTTTCACCGTGTTAGCCAGGATGGTCACGATCTCCTGACCTTGTGATCCGCCCACCTCAGCCTCCCAAAGTGCTGAGATTACAGATGTGAGCCACCACGCCCAGCCTTTTTTTTTCTTTTTTTTTTTTTTTTTGTGAGACAGAGTTTCGCTCTTGTTGCCCAGGCTGGAGTGCAATGGCGTGATCTTGGCTCACTGCAACCTCTGCCTCCTGGGTTCAAGCGATTCTCCTGCCTCAGCCTCCTGAGGAGCTGGGATTACAGGCATGCGCCACTACGCCTGGCTAATTTTGTATTTTTAGTAGAGACGGGGTTTCTCCATGTTGGTCAGGCTGGTCTTGAACTCCCGACCTAAGGTGATCCGCCCGTCTCGGCCTCCCAAAGTGCTGGGATTACAGGCGTGAGCCACCGCGCCCGGCCATAAAAAAAATAATAATCTTAAAGAAAAAGGAACCAGAGGGAAAAAAGGCAATGACTCTCACAGGAGCAATAATCAGCCTGACACCCGGCTTCACGGCGGGAACAGCGGGAGCAAGAAGGCAGATGACTGATATGTTTGGAGATACAGGAAGGTAACAGCCAGCATGGGATTCTATACTCAGCAAATGTATCCTTCAAGAATGAAGGTAAAATAAAGATATTTTGAGACAAACAAACAAAAACCAAAAGAATTCATTAGCAGACTCACACTTTCATTCTTCAGGGAGAAAGAAAATGATCCCCATCCAGATGTAAAGTCAGATTCCAGAAGGAACGAAGAACAACAAATACAGTGACTATAAGGGTGAAAATCTAAATATCTGACTGCACAAAACAATGGGTTGTGTGATTTAAAACAGAAATAATTAAAACAAATGACAACAATAAATGGAGTTAAAGTGTGTTAGGATCCTTGCACTGTCCAGGAAGAAGGTAAAGTACACATTATCATTAGTCTTTGGTACAACATGAATGCCTGCTTTAAATTCTAGGGTGACCACTTAAAACTGAGAAAAGAGCATATAACTTTCAAGCTAATAGAAGAGGAAAAATAGGATAATAAAAATTAACCTAAAAGAAGACTAGAGAGAAAAATGAACAGAGAATAGGCAATTTGAATATATAGAGTAAGATAGCAGATTAAACCCAAATGTATCATATTTCATTAAATGTAAATGGACTAAATGCTAAATAAAAAAACAAAACCCAAGGGCACCTAGGATCTCTGTATTATTTCCTGCAACGGCATGTGAATTTATAATTATGTCAAAATAAAAAGTTTAATTTGAAAAGTAAAGAGGCCAGGTGCAGTAGCTCATACCTGTAGTCCCAGCACCTTGGGAGGCCATCATGGGAGGTTTGCTTGAGCCAAGGAGTTCAAGACCAGCCTGGGCAACACAGCAAGACTCCATCTCTATAAAAAAAAATAATAATAAGTATATAAAGATCAGAGATCTAAACTTAAGAGCTCAAACCTGGCCGGTTGCAGTGGCTCACACCTGTAATCTGAAACACTTTGGGAGGCTGAGGCAGGTGGATCACCAGAGCGCAGAAGTTCAAGACTAGCCCAGGCAACACGGTGAAAACCTGTCTCTACAAAAAAATACAAAAATTAGCTGGGCCTGACTGCGCATGCCTGTAGTCCCAGCTACTTGTGGGGCTGAGGCAGGAGGATCACTTGAGCTGGAGAGGTCAAGGCTGCAGTGAGCCGTGTTCACGCCACTGCACTCCGGCCTAGGCAATAAAATGAGACCCTGCCTCAAAAAACAATAAACAAACCAACAAAAAAACCCTTTAAAACTCTTAGAAGAAAATCTAGGGAAAAAATGTTCATGACACTGGATTTAGTAAAGATTTCTTGGATATAGCACCAAAAGCACAGACAAAAAAAAAAAAAAGATAAATTGTACTTCACTAAAACTAAAATTTTTGTACATCAAAGAGCATGATCAAGAGGGTGAAAAGACAACCCACAGAATAGGAGAAAATATTTGCAAATCACATATCTGATAAGGGATTAATATCTAGAATATATTAAAAAACCCTAGGCCGGGCGCGGTGGCTCATGCCTGTAGTCCCAGCACTTTGGGAGGCCAAGGCGGGCAGATCACGAGGTCAAGAGATGGAGACCGTCCTGGCTAACACGGTGAAACCCTGTCTCTACTAAAAATATTAAAAAAATTAACTGGGCATGGTGGCAGGCACCTGTAGTCCCAGCTATTCGGGAGGCTGAGGCAGGAAAATCACTTGAACCCGGGAGGCAGAGGTTCCAGCGAGCCGAGATCGCGCCACTGCACTCCAGCCTGGCGACAGGGCGAGACTTCATCTCAATAAATAAATAAATAATAACAAATGTTGGCAAGGATGTGGAGAAATTGGAATCCTTGTGCATTGCTGGTGGGAATATAAAATGGTGCAGTTGCTACAGAAAACCGTTTGGTAGTCCTCAAAAAAGTAAAAATAGAATGACCGTATGATCCAGAGATTCTACTTCCTGGGTATATACCCAAAAGAACTGAAAGTAGGATTCAAACAGATACTTGTATACCAATGTTCACTGCAGCACTATTCACAATGGCAACAGATGGAAACAACCCAAGTGTCCATTACGAATAGATGAATACACGGAATGTGGTCTAGACACACACACACACACACACACACACACACGAATATTACTCAGCAACAAAAAGGAATGCAGTACTGACATATACTACAGTATGGAGGAACGTTCAACATATGCTCAGTAAAATAAGTCAAAGAAGACAAATATTGTATGCCTCCATTTATCATTTATGTGAGATGCCTAGAATAGTCAAATTTACAGAGATGAGGTAGAATGGTGGTTACCAGGGACTGTGGGGATGGGAGTGATTGTTAAATGGGTAGAGAGTTTCAGTTGGGATGAGCAAAGAGTTCTGGAGACAGACGGTGGTGATGGCTACACAGCAATGTGAATGCACTTAATGCCACTGACCTGTACACTTAAAAATGGTTAAAATGGGCCAGGCGCAGTAGCTCACGCCTGTAATCCCAGCACTTTGGGAGGCCAAGGCAGGAGGATTGCTTGAGGCCAGGAGTTCGAGACCAGCCCGGGGCAGCATAGTGAGACCCCAGCTCTACAAAAAATTAAAAAAAAAAAAATTAGCCAGGCACAATAGCACATGCCTTGTAATCCCAGCTACTCAGGACACTAAGCAGGAGGATCACTGGACTCCAGGAGTTCGAGGCTGCAATGAGCTAGGATTGCACCACTGCACTCCAGCCTCCGTGACAAAGTGAGACCCCCCCCATCTCTAAAAAAAAAAAAATTTTTTTTTAATTTTAAAAACTGGTTAAAATGGTACGCTTTGTTACTTTTTTTTTTTTTTTTTTTTTTGAGACAGAGTCTTGCTCTGTCGCCAGGGTGGAGTGCAGTGGCGTGATCTCAGCTCACTGCAACCTCTGCCTCCCTGGTTCAATTCTCCTGCCTCAGCCTCCTGAGTAGCTGGGATTACAGGAACACGCCACCATGACCAGCTAATTAGTTGTATTTTTAGTAGAGACGGGGTTTCACCATGTTGGCCAGGATGGTCTTGATCTCCTGACCTCGTGATCCACCTACCTCGGTCTCCCAAAGTGCTGGGATTATAGGCGTGAGCCACCGCGCCCAGCCTGTGTTACATACATTTTATCACAATAGAAATATTTGAGAAATTTGACCAGATGCAGTGGCTCACACCTGTAATCCCAGCACTTTGGGAGGCCGAGGCAGGCAGATCACCTGAGGTCAGGAGCTCAAGACCAAGCCTGGCCAACATGGTGAAACCTCGTCCTACTAAAAATACAAAAATTAGCCGGGTGCGGTGGCGGGCGCCTGTAGTCCCAGCTACTAGGGAGGCTGAGGCAGGAAAATCACTTGAACCCGGGAGGCAGAGGTTGTGGTGAGCCGAGATCGCGCCACTGCACTCCAGCCTGGGCAACAGAGTGAGACCCTGTCTCAAAAAAAGAAAAGAAAAGAAAAGAAGAGAAAGAAGAGAAGAGAAAAGAAAAGGAAGAAAGATTTGAGAAATTTTCTTGCATGTGCAGATGTGTACGTACAACAGTGGAAACATTTTTTTACATAGCCATGACATCTTTTAAATGCCATTGTCAGGCTGGGCGCAGTGGCTCATGCCTGTAATCCCAGCACTCTGGGAGGGCAAGGTGGGTGGACTGCTTGAGCCCAGAGTTCACGACCAGCCTAGTCAACATGGTGAAACCCTACTTCTACCAAAAAAAAAAAAAAAAAATTAGCCAGGCATGGTGGTGTGCGCCTGTAGTCCCAGCTACTCAGGAGGCTGAGGTGGGAGGATCACACCCAGGAGACCGAGGCTGCAGTGAGCCGTGATTACACCATTGCATTCCAGCCTAGGTGACAGATTAAGACCCTGTCTAAAAAAAAAAAAAAAAAAAAAAAGCCACTCTTTCAATGTCAATGTGTAGCCTACTGAAGAAAATAGTTTCATAAATTAATGGATTTAAAGGTAAAAAGGGTTAAAGTGGTAAATTTTATGTTATATGCATTTACAACATAAAAACAACACCCCTGAAGCCTAGTAATATACCATTTATAAGAGAAAACGCTAAAACATAAAGAAATGGGAAAAAGTAAAAGGACAGGAAAAATGTATCATGCAAACACTAACCAAAAGCAAGCTTCTGCTCCTTCAGGAAGACAGGGCCACAGGCGCTGCAGAGCTGTGGTCTGCCCGCTCCTGCTCCTGCCTCACCACTGTTTGCTCTGGCTGAGGAACAAGTTGGTCAGGAAGGCTCGCAGCAGCCATGGCATGCATTTATTTATTTATTTATTTATTTATTTATTTATTTATTTATTTATTTTTTGAGACAGTCTCGCTCTGTCGCCCAGGCTGGAGTGCAGTGGCATAATCTCAGCTCTCTGCTACTTCTGCCTCCCAGGTTCAAGCAATTCTCCTGCCTCAGCCTCCAGAGTAACTGGGACTACAAGCGCCCGCCACCACACCCAGCTAATTTTTGTATTTTTAATAGAGACGGGGTTTCACCGTGTTGGCCAGGATGGTCTCGAACTCCCGACCTCAGGTGATCTGCCTGCCTCGGCCTCCCAAAGTGCTGGGATTACAGGCGTGAGCCACCGCACCCGGCCCACCCACGGCTTTAAAGATACCTGAAGAAAACCTGCGGAGCCAGAGGTGACAATTCACTGAATCTGAATC
The DNA here is from genome assembly GCF_000001405.40 of Homo sapiens. Lineage (NCBI taxonomy): Eukaryota > Metazoa > Chordata > Mammalia > Primates > Hominidae > Homo > Homo sapiens. The sequence goes on from NC_000005.10 coordinate 177,346,138, forward strand.
ACTTTAATGAGCTGCAACATAGAATCCCCAGAAAAGGTGTGTGCTGACTTGATCAGAGGAGCAAAGGAAAAGAATCTCAAAGTGAAAAGACCAGCTGGAACGCCTATCAAGGCTTCGAGAATCACCACAAGAAAAACTCCTTGTGAAGGTTCTAACACACGGGATCGTTTCCAGATGAGAATCCACAAGTGGCTCACTGACCTCCACAGTCCTTCTGAGATTAAGCAGATTACTTCCATCAGTATTGAGCCAGGAGTTGAGGTGGAAGTCACCATTGCAGATATTTAAAGTTGACTATTTTAATAAATTGATTACCGGTTGTTGTTTTTTTTTTAAAAAAAGCAAGCTTCTATAGCTATACCCATAACAAAATGTAAAAAGGGGTTCTTCTTAATGATAAAAGATTCCATTTACCTACAGATATAATAAATCTAAGTTTTTGTATGTACCTAATTTGGCCTCAAAACATATAAAACAGAAACTGACAGAACTACAAAGATGCAGACAAATCCATATACAGAAATTTTTTTAACACTTTTTTTTTTTTTGAGATGGGGTCTTACTATGCTGCCTGGGCTGGTTTTGAACTCCTTGACTCAAGCAATCCTCCTGCCTCAGCCTCCCCAGTAGCTGACACTTACAGGCACGTGTCACCTTGCCCAGCCATACACAGAAATTTTTAACAAAGCTCTCTTAGTAACTTATAAAAGCAAGCAGACAAAAACATGAGGAAAGCTAGAGAAGATCCGAACTCAATCTTAACCCTGGCTGCACAGCAGACCCACCTGGGAAGCTCAGAAAGCAAGTTTGACCTAAAGAACCTACGTGGCACACTGTAGTCAACAAGTAGAGAATCCACATTCATAAGCACAAACAGAACGCGTCCAAAAAATCTGACCATGATGCAATTCCATCAGCTATCTAACAATAATAAACAATTTTAAAAGATAACTAAAATAGCCCTCATATATTTGAAAACTTTAAAAAAAAATATCTCACATGTACAAAAGTCAGCCCAGAAACCAGATTTCAAATGGTCTCTTTGGTGCCCAGGAGTTTTCTGCACCTGGGGACAACACCCTGAAGAAAGACCAGGCTGTTGGGAGGCTGACCTCAGAGCAGAAGGGCAACTGAGTGAGGGAGGTGGGAAAGGAAAACCCACACACCCATTCCCAGCATGTTCACGGGGAGGCTGGTTTCAGGAATGAGCACATGAGACAGTGGAGGACCTGGAAACAGACTCCTCCAGGACTACGCAGGCCTTGGAAAGTCTTCATGACCCCAGATTAAAACTGCAGATTAGTAGAGACATACTATGATACAGACAATAGAAGGCCTCTGGAGGATCTTAAGCAGGCAAGGCACAGGCTGGAAATGATTCAGAAGCTGCTTTTGGGGACAAACACGATATGACCACAGTTCTTAACCCACAGCAAACCCACCTGGGGAGCTCAGAAAGCTTAATGCCTTGGTCCTACACCAGGCCAACTACATCAGAATCACCTGGCAATAAGAGGCTATTTTACAGTTCAGCAGTTTCCACATCTCTGCTTGCAACGAAACGGAATGCAGATGTAATCAACAGTCAGCCGAAACATCATCAAAAATTTTGATAAAAGATCACTGCATGACGTTGGGTTTATAAACCAAAAGAAGATCAAAATATTCAGTGATGCTGCTCTACCAAAACTCCCGCTGTGCCAGGCACAGTGGTGGTGAGCACCTGTGTCCCAGATACTCAGAGGCTGAGGTGGGAAGATTGCTTGAGTCCAAGAGTTCAAGATAAGACTGGGCAACATAGTAAGATCCCATCTATAATAGAAATTTAAAATTTTAAAAATAACCCCATCTCCAACTACTATTTAAGAGAACACAGTTTCTCAGAATTCATGTACATAAAAACAAAAAGTAGAAGTGGTACTGAACTTGTCTTATTCTGACAGTATTATCCATCCAGATGGGGGTGGGGGGTGACATCCTACTGAGATCTCATGTTTCAAAAAATGTTTACTTTTGTATAATTACTCAAAAACTGTGTAATGCATTTACTTTTATCAAGTGTGTACAGATAATTATAATAATCTCAAACAAAATATTAAAAGTTTCAGTCTCAACAAAATTGAAAAGTTTAAATTATTATATTAATTTTACTTGCAGAAGAATATGGTAGGCTAATGAATAACATTTTCAAGCATTAAATATATTGCATTAGGATAATATTCTGTGTGGAAATGAAAGTACAAGTTCAATTAAAAAACTGACATACTGGCCAGGCACAGTGGCTCACACCTGTAATCCTAGCACTTTGGGAGGCCGAGGTGGGCAGATCACTTGAGGCCAGGAGTCGGAGACCAGCCTCGCAAACATGGCAAAACCTCATCTCTACTAAAAATACAAAAAATTAGCTGGACATGGCAGTGCGCGCCTGTAATCCCAGCTACTGGGGAGGCTGAGGCAGAAGAATCGCTTGAACTCGTGAGGTGGAGGTTGCAGTGAGCTGAGATCGCACCACTGCATTCCAGCCTGGGTGATAGAGCATGACTCTGTCTCAAAAAAAAAAAAAAAAAAAAAAAAAACCTCTACTAAAAACACAAAAACTAGCTGGGCGTGGTGGTGCACACCTGTAATTCCAGCTACTCAGGGGGCTGAGGCAGGAGAATCACTTGAACCAGGAAGGCGGAAGTTGCAGTGAGCCGAGACTGCGCCACTGCCCTCCAGCCTGGGTGACAGAACAAGACTCCGTCTCAAAAAAAAAAAAAAAAAAAGTGGATATCAAATTGCAATATTTAGATTCCACTGAATGTTTAAAATACTGAACAGTTTTAGTTTAAAATGTCAATATTTAAAATATGCTGTCATCCTTTGCAAATACTTAAACCTAATGACAAACAATTTTTGATGCCAACTTTTCAAAAGGTTGCTACAACAGCAAAGAAAGCTTAAAGACCACTGCCGCAGCCTCCGCACAAGACCCCCAAAAGGACAGGGCCTGAGCAGCCTCCCCAGGTCCTATGCTGCAGCCACCAGGCACTTAAGAGTTCTAGTCAACTCTGAGCCACTCCTTCATCTAGACCACCCCCCCTGCACCACAGCAGGAGCTATTTTATGGCTGCTCAGAAGACAGCAGGTGTTCAGGGAATGTTCGCCTGAGTGCATGCCTCTCCCGGATGGAGTGAATGAAGGAGATAAAAAAGGGAAAAGTTTAGGAAGCATCTCTCCAGCTCATTAAAGGAAGAGGCAGTTCTTGGGAAACACTGAACAGAAAATTCTGATTTCCAAGCCATTTCTTTCCAGAGTTTACAGGAAGCACTCCAAATGTTTCAGGAATATCAGCAGAGCCAAATAGAAAGGTGGAGGAAGGAAGGCAAAACAATTGTACTCCAGACTGAAAATTCGATGAAGGCAAGTGCAGAAGCCTCTCAGTCCTGTGACATCCTCGAGCCACTGATGATGCCAACCATCAGCTATCTACAACCAAAATGTAAGCCACTGTCTTAGATGCGTCTATTACTTGTGGCTACTCCTGATTTCTACAGTTCCAGCACTGTTTGCACCTTGCTTTCAAAAAATAATAATAATGCTATACTGAACTCATTTCCATGAAAAATATAAGGCTGAATTATCATTTCTTTAAAATATCTGAAAGCCCTAAGACAGAATGTGACAGAATGTGACTCGGGGGAGATAGGGTGGTTAATGAAGAAATGTCTGCGTGGGTGGCACTTGAATTGAGACTTAACAGATGAGAAGGAACCAAGCAGGCATGAGGAGCCAGGAGGCAGTGTCCCAGACAGAGGGAACAACAGGTGCAAAGGTCCTGAGGCAAGAAGGCAGCCAGGGGGGGCTGGAACAAAATTAACACAGAGAATGACTGGAGATGCACAAGGGGCCAGATTGTGCAGACATAATGCATGCTTACCCCTTCACAGGGGACTCCACGCTCTGAGGATCAGACTGAAAGCTGAAGAAAGTATCCGCAGATGCCACTAACAGCAGTGTGGAGGCTCGGGGCAGGAAGGAGAGGAGGAGCAGAGGGGACGGGCAGACCAGGCAACACAAGGACAGTGTGGGTTCCCAGAACTAAACAAGAAAGTCAACCAGCAGGGATCAGAGAGCAGGGTGATGGAGAAAACTAGAACACTGGCCAACAGCTTAAGCCATGGGAAGGGCTGAGATTAGGCAAGCTGGGGCAGGAGCAGGTCCCGCTCCAAGCTGTAACCCAGCCCCAAATTATTCTTCTTTCCCCTTTTTCCTCACCTTGACTGCCTCAGTGTGGATTCTGTGTAGCAGCTGTCATTGGCCACTGCTCACATACTACATACTACATACTCTGAGGCAAAGGTCACAGACACTAGAACTGCCCACAGGTCCAGTCCCTCCACACTACTGATGACAAGACCCTCAACCAAGCATTGCAAAAAGGGTTCTAAGGGGTTCCTCCACTGTCCAGGTGAAAAGAGTCAAGTACATCGAGTGAACTGCTGGGCTTAGAGATCAGACAAATCAGAGTTTAAATACTGTTTATGACATTTGCTAGCTGGGTTATCTTTGTATAGTCATGAAAGCCATCTATTTCAAACAGCTTGTTTGAAAATTAAATGCAATAAGGCATGGCAAGGTCAGTGCCTAATACACAGCAAAACACCCAATAAAGATCCAGTTCGCTCGGTTCTTCCCATTACTGAGGGGGTTCAAGGCAGACAGCCTGACAGTTCCACTACTTTCTGGCTATGTAACTTTGGGTAAGGCCCTTTCAAACCTGAGTCTTAGCTTCTCAGTGGGTAAAATGGAGATAACATTACTCATCTCGCATGGCTTTTAAAGTGAGGAGGATGTAAAGTGTCAAGCGCAGCTCCTGACACATAGTAAGTACCCAATACCCATCGCCTCTTATTATTGGTGGGTGTGACCGAGATGAGGAAAAGGCCAGGGACGGAGGTGCAAACCTATAAACGAAGCTGGGGTCTCAGCTGCTCGGGAGGCAGGGACTAGCAGCCAACCGCACAGTACGCCTATCCTCTTGAGAACCACTCACCTGGTGGTTCCAGATAGAGCCCTCTTTGCTGCGCTCGTCAGGGGTCAGACGTACGTACTGGCTCGTGAGCATAGTGCTGCCCTGGAAGTCCCAGAGGGGCATAGAGCTGGAACCGACCCCTGTGGGAAGAGACAGGTGCTAAGAGGCCACGCCAGGACTGGCCTCACCAGAGGCAGGAAACCCACAGAGATGCTCTGCTCAGGAGAAAGGGCACGCCTTCCCCTAGCCCTGTTCAGCCTCGCCCTCACTCTTCACTCATTCCCGCCCCAAGGGCTTCACCTTGGTAGGGCTTAATGAGCGAATGCTCCCGCTTGAGATGTTCACTGTTGCCGTCAGTTATATCCGCAGTCACAGACCCCAACAACAAAAGAAGAAAGAGAGGTGTAGTGGGGCCAGGGCCGGGGCCGAGAAGCCCAGGCCTTCCCAGGCACCGCCGGCCCCAGCCCCAACGCCAAATCCAGCCTTCCGCCGCCATTCTCCTCTCCTCTCGGCCACTTCCGCCCTAGAACTTCCGCCTTCCGGGGGTCCCATCTATTGGCCTCCGGCCGGAAGCTCTTCAACTTTACTGTCGCCAGGGAGTCAAAAAGCAAAGCCTCCGCAGCAGACGGGGCGGCAGCTGCATTGGCCGGGCAGCCTCTCATCCTGGTTGAGTGCAGTTTCATCTCCTTAGAGGCTCCAAGGCACACGCCGGCCAGCCCCAGCAATGGGTTCTTTCGAGCGACAAGAGCTGTAACCAGTCACGGAACAGCACGTTAGGCTTGCGAGCCAATGAGGAGCAGAGGGATGGTTGGAGCCGGCGGGAGCGCGAGGGCCGTCCGCGACTCGGGGCATGCTGGAATTTGTAGTTTTTGTCGGTCGCTCTAATGGGGCGGATTCGCGAAGACTAGGACGTCTTGGGCTTCTGGCCGCAAGTCCCGTCTCTGGAATAACCTTTTCTAGTCCTGGAGAAAGGAGCTCTGAATTGAAGGCGGAGTCCTGCATTCCAACCCTTGTCCTCCCCGGGTGGCCCTGGGCAAGCCTTTAAGCCGTGCCTGCCGTCAGGCGCCCCAGCTTCGCGCCTTTGGAGACTCAGAATTCCCAATTATTTGAGGGCCTCCACTACCCTCAACTCCTCAGGCCTAGTCGGGTTGAAGCAAGAGGAACAGACACAGATCCTGGCCTGGGACCCCAGTGATGACTGGAACTCATCCCTATGCAAAAGAGCGCAGTGCCTGGTACAGCAAGTAACGTCCATGGAAGGCCCAGGAAAGCTGTGAATCAGAGGTCGAAAACTGGTGGCCTGCAGCTGAATAGAGCTCTGTTTTACCTGCCAATATTCTAATAAATGGCTTAACTACCAGTATTTTAAAGTCAGAATATAGAGGCTGGGCGTGGTGGCTCACGCCTGTAATCCCAGCACTTTGGGAGGCTGAGGCCGGCGGATCACGAGATCGGGAGATCGAGACCATCCTGGCTAGCACGGTGAAACCCCGTCTCTACTAAAAAATACAAAAAATTAGCCGGGCGTGGTGGCAGGTGTCTGTAGTCCCAGCTACTCGGGAGGCTGAGCCAGGAGAATGGCTTGAACCCAGGAGGCAGAGCTTGCAGTGAGCCGAAATCGCGTCACTGCACTCCAGCCTGGGCGACAGAGCGAGACTCTGTCACACACACACACACACACACACACACACACACACACACACACAAAGTCGGAATATGTACATTCACATCAGAAATCCAGACTTCCGGCTGAGCTCAGTGGCTGAGGCCTGTAATCCTAGCACTTTGGGAGGCAGAGGCGAGCAGATTACCTGAGCTCAGGAGTTTCAGACCAGCCTGGGCAACACGGTGAAACCCCGTCTCTACTAAAATACAAAAGAAATTAACGGCGTGGTGGCGGACACCTGTAGTCCCAGCTACTCGGGAGGCTGAGGCAGGAGAATTGCTTGAACCCAGGAGGCAGAGGTTGCAGTGAGCAGAGATCACGCCATTGCATTCCAGCCGGGGCGACAGAGCAAGACTCTGTCTCTACAAAAAAAAAAAAAAAGAAGAAGAAGAAGAAGAAAAGAAATCCAGACTTCCGTTTTTTTACCCAAAAAAAAAAAAAAAGAAGCAGCAGCAAAAGATCTAGGCACACATTCCCACAACAGAACAATAGGCTGGAGCTGAATGGGACTGCCCCTCCACCAATGCCTTCCTCTTCTAAGCTGGTCCCCACCTGGTCACTCGTTTACAGCACTTGCCTGGCTCCTCCAGACATTTGAATCAATGACTCCTGTTGTAGATCACAGGGAGGGATGTTGGTTGCTTGCTCCTTTTAGAAACTGCCCTCTTGAATGAATGGACTTATTCAGGATTGAGTGCTGAATCTTTTCTTGGTCATATATTTTTCGTTCGCTTTTTTATTATTAAAGTCACACATTCTGGTCAGGCACGGTGGCTCACACCTGTAATCCCAGTAGTTTGGGAGGCCGAGGTGGGTGGATCACTTGAGGCTAGGAGTTCGAGACCAGCCTGGCCAACATAGCGAAACCCTGTCTCTACAAAAAATTAGCTGGGTGTGGTGGTGCACACTTGTAATCCCAGCTACTCAGGAGGCTGAGGCACGAGCATCACTTGCACCTGGGAGGTGGAGGTTGCAGTGAGCCAAGATCTTGCCACTGCACTCCAGCCTGAGTGACAGAGTGAGACTCTGTCTCAAAAAAGTCACACATTCTTGTGGTGTGTATGGAAACAGAGAGAGAACAGACATACAAGACACAACAAGCCAGGCATGGTGGCTCACACCTGTAATCCCAGCACTTTGGGAGGCCAAGGCAGGTGGATCACTTGAGGTCAGGAGTTCGAGACTACCCTGGCCAACATTGTGAAACCCTGTTTCTACTAAAAATACAAAAAATTAGCCGGCCATGGTGGCGGGTACCTATAATCCCAGCTACTCAGGAGGCTGAGGCAGGAGAATCACTCGAACCCAGGAAGCGGAGGTTGCAGTGAGCCAAAATTGTGCCATTGCACTCCAGCCTGGGCAACAAGAGTGAAACTCCATCTCAAAAAAAGAAAAGAAAAGAAAAGAAAAGACACAACAAAAGTCTTCTGCCACTCCCCTCGCAAGGAGTGTCCCCTTCCAGAGATTTATCTGCACCCATACAAACAAAAACATGCACATTCCATGGGACCTTCATGGGGCTGGGATTTTTGTCAGCTATGGTCACTACTGAATCCCTGGCATCTAGAATAGTGCTTGTCACATAGGAGGTGATTAATAAGTAACTGGTGAAAGAATGAATATTTGTTCTAGAACCTGGAATTGGGTCATGAAGAATGAGTAGGAGTTTTCCGGGAAAGGTAAAGGCATTCTCAGCAGAGAGAAGAGGAGCTGCAATCTAGGGAGGGATGTGTGAGAGCAGATGAAATACAAGTAGTTTGGAATGGCTGAGAAGTTGGAGTTGGGGGCTGCGGGGGAGCTGAAGCCAAAACTCAAAGGGCCTTCAATTCCCAAGTAAGGAACATGGCCTTTTCCCAGAACTCAATGGGATATTTCTAAGCATGGGAGTGACCAATGTGGATTCCTCTAGCTATGGTGAGGAGAAGAGATTGGAGCGGGGATAATAGGGAGACTGGATTCATCATGATCGGGGGAGAGAGGGTGAGGCCTAAGCCAAGGAGGTCTTCACAGAGAAGAAGGATCTGAAGTCCCAGCCAGAGACTAAATCAGGAACTGATGCCCTGTGGGCAGCCAGGAAGGGAGAAGTCGAGGATGGTGCTTTGTGGGTGGAGGTACTCCACCACTCTCATGGCATGGAGAAGACTAGATAAGGGCTAAGAGATGGGAACAGCCAGGGCTAGCTGTGGTGAAGATGTGGTCAGAGCTAGAACTGGCATCCATGGTGGAGAGAAGGGAAGAGGTGTCTCTGCAGGAGAGTATGAACTTCAAAGGGAGTCCCAGGCAGAGACTGTGACTGTCCTTTGGCAGGAAGAAGATGAGCTGTGGGCATCTGTGGTGGCCAAAGCCCAGTTCCAGGCACCCCAAGCACACTCACAGCTTAGCAGATCTCTAAGAGGATGTATAGCCTTGGGCAACTCACTTCTCTCTGAGCCTCAGTTTCCTGATCTGTGAAATGGTAATAATAAGCACCATTCACAAAGTGGTTGTGAGGACTAGGACTGTAAAGCCACCTAGGAAATGGCCCAGATCCATGGCACAGCAGACAGGAAGTCTTCACCCATATCACACACCCTACAACCCCCACAGGCACATTGAAACAGTCACACACCTTATTAAGACCACCATTGGCAATGGTCCAGGCCCAAAAGCAACCTCCACCGTAACCCCTTTCACACATCAAGTCTGACTGAATCTCTCTGTCTGTGTGGCCTGAAGCAAGGTGTCTGGAGAGAGGTGAGGCAGTGCTGGGAGAAGAAGTGTGTTAACTAGGGCAGTGCTAGCTGCTATAACAAATAGGCCCTAATGTATATAATGACCTGAAAATTTTTTTGATGTTTCTTTTTTTTTTAACTATTTTTACAAGGTTTGTGCATCTGTCAGGAGGCTCAAAAAATTTTACTTCCCACTTACATAATGGTCTGAAGCTGGTTTCCAGGTTGATGGGTGGCTTGCCTTCAGGCACTGATACACAGACCCTGCTTTTTCCTTCTTGTGGTTCCACAATCCCCTGGGCCTCCTCATCTTCTCTATCCATCCAGCTGAAGGAGAAAGAGGGAGGGTGCAGGGCACACACTTACTTCTTCAAAGCCTTGGCTCAAAAATGACACATGTCATCCCACACATTTTCAATTGGCAAGAAGTGGTCACATGTCCACATCTGACTGCAAGGGAACCTGGGAAAGTAAAGTTAGCCACGTGCCCAGGAAAAAAGGACATGAATTTGTGGTGAAGAGCTATTCAGTTTCTGCCACTGAAGAGTTCAGGTCACAGCCCTAGAAGGGGCAGTGGGGCAGAGGGTAGAATATGGAGAAGTGGCTATCACCTTGTCCCTGCAGAAAGACTAGCTGAGGCTGGACACGATGGCTCACACTTGTAATCCCAGCACTTTGGGAGGCTAAGGTGGGTGGATTGCTTGAGCCCAGGAGTTTGAGACCAGTCTGGGCAACATAGGAGACATCTCTACAAAAAAAAAAATTACACAGTCACGTTGACATGCACCTGTGGTCCCAGCTACTTGGAAGGCTGAGGTGGGAGGATTGCTTGAGCCCAGGAGGTCAGGGCTGCAGTGAGCCTAGATCCTGCCACTACACTCCAGCCTGGGTGAGTAACAGAGCAGGACTCTGTCTCAAAAAAAAAAAAAAAAAAGTAAAGAAAAGAAAAGAAAGAAAAAGAGAGAAAGAGGAGCTCAAATCAGAATGGTGGGCAAGTTGAGGGGTCTTAGTGAGCCCACGCTTAGAAGAAAATATAAGTCCTTGCAGTGGGGACACGCATGTGTGAGAAAGAGGCAAACCAAGGACCCTAGCTAAAATTTTTAAAACTGGAGTTCATCTGGGGCCAGGTCAGGGCCGAGGGCAGGATGCCCACCCTTCAGCCAACACTACATGCTATCAAATTAAGTTTATATCCCCCAAAATTCATACGTTGAAACACTAACCTGCAAGGTGTTATTTGGAGACAGGGCCTTTGAGAGGTAATTGGGTCATGAAAGAGAACCCCTTAGGGTGGGATTAGGAATTAGTGCCCTTATAAAAAGAGACAGGAGGGAGCTGGCTTCCTTTATCTCCACTTGCTATCGTGAGGGCATGGCAAAAAGACAGCTGTCTGCAAACCAGGAAGAGGGCCCTCTCTAGATACCAGATGTGCCAGCGGCTTGCCCTTGGACATCTCAGCCTCCAGAAGTGTGAGAAATACTTATTTGTTGTTTAACCCACCTGGTCTATGGTATTTTTGCTATAGCAGCCTGAGTTGACTAAGGCAGGATTTCTGAGTGAGTATGAATGCGCTCAAGTCTTTGGCCACAGATATAGGTGATCCAGTCCCCTACCTAGGTAGGTGAGCGTGTGCATCATATCTGCTTACACATATGTCACTGGAGTGTCGGAATACATATGTCCTATGTTCAGGTGTGCCTGTCACATGCACCTCTTCAGGGGACTGTGCATGCACATGACTATACACCCAAGTCCCCCTTGTAAGGGAGAGCCCATGTGTTTATGACACGCATACCTGAATGTCTGTGTGTGCACAGCCATGCGGGCAAGTTATCCATCTGTCTGCACACCTGGCCACATGCATGGAAGGAGCCTGTAGGTGTCTGGGGCTAGAGGTACCCTGCATATGTGCAGCTGCCGGGGAGAGGGGTACTGAGCACATGTTTGTCTGGCACACAGTAGGTATGAGGTAAGTGTGTGCCGAGTAAAGTACACGTGTGGATACACAGGTCCCAGTGCACGTGTGTGCATGTCCACAGGAACGCCCCCAGGGTGGACAAAGGTGCCTAGGTATGTTTACTCGTGTGCTGTGAGCCCAGGCATGAACTTAGAGCTCCCTGGTCCTGGCCAGACCAGGCTGGGCTCCTTGCTGGGCACACGGAAGCCTCTGCCTTGTGTTGGTGCCCGTGCGGGATGCTGCCAGGAGTGTGTTGGTGGCGTGTGTGTGCGTGAACGTGTGTGTGTGTGCGCGTGTGTGTGTAGGAAGAGGCGTTCGCTCTCTTAGACCTTGCTTCTTTCTGTGGTTTGGTTTCTATAGAGACACTTCCTGTGGCAGAGAAAAGAGGTAGTGAGCGGTGTTTCAGGATGTGAGGGCCCGCAGGAGCCGAGTCAGGCTCTCTCCACTGCCTGCCCGCCACCGTGCAAGCTCTGGCCGGCGCTGCCCACAGTCCCCATGGTGGGCAGCCCCCGCGGCGGGGACCCCTGATCGGCAGCGGCATGCCAGGGAAGCCCAAGCACCTGGGCGTCCCCAACGGGCGCATGGTGAGTGTGGGCTCCGGGCCAGGGCCACGAGGAGGGGGTGGGCACACCCAGGGTGGAGCCCAGGAGGCACACCCGGCAGGGCCAGGCAAGAGCCCACGGGCTGCCAGCAGGCGAGAGAAGTTGGGTACAGACAGCAGCAGGTGGTAGGACCTGGTGCTCTCACCCCTAGACCCTTCCAGATGGCCCAGCCGGGAGCCTGGTACAACCCTGGCAGTGAGGCCAGAGCGGGCACAGGCTTCTGGTCCAGCCCCCACCACTCCCTCACCTGCTGCATCTGGGGCTGCATCCCAGGGTCTCAGGGACACTCGATGTGCTCCTTGCCCCCTGCCCATCCCCACAGTGGCTCAAGCCCCTACATCCCGCTCAGCCTGAGTCCTCCCCTCCTCACCCCCTGCTCCAGGTGCCCAAGGTCATGTTAGTGGCAGCTCTTGCTGGGTCGGTGTCCTCCAGCCGGAGCTACTCCAGAGGCTTCCTGCCAGAACTAGCATTGTTTGGGCAGCCCGGGATGGGGCAGCAGGGTCAGACTAGGTTGATGCAGCTTCTGCCTGTTCTATTCCTGAGCTTCCAGGAAGGGCTGAGCACTAAGATCCCCCTGGCTGCAGCTGCCCCACCCCTTAACCCTCTCCCTGGCTGCTTAGCCCCAGATCAGAGCTGCCCTCAGAGGATCTGGCTCTTCTCATTCATTCAGCAGATGGGGCAAGCTGTGCTGGGCCTCCCTTCTCTCCCTAGGGTTCCCCCCTCACTTGGAAGAGTCCCTCTTAACAACCTCAGGAAGGCCAGTGTCCTGGCCCACCACCAGGCCCCAGCCTAGTATCACGGGCCAAAGCCAGTGGCTCTATAGAGACCTGGGTTCCAGTCCTGGTTCTATTCTCTCTTACTGGAGGGAGGGTCCTCGCCAGCTCTCAGTTTCCTCATCCCTAAAATGAGGAGGTTGGAATGAATTTCAAGGCTTGTTGAGATGATAGAGTGAAATAATGCATATGAGGCCTTTGACCCATTGTGGGGGCTGCATAATTGTCAGCCCAGTGCCCCCTACATTTTCAGCCCCAATTCAAAGATCTCCTGCCTCACCAAGAAGCTGAGGCAGCCCCATCACCACTCCTGCCCCTTAGTTCCCAAAACCTGCCTCTACCTCTTCTTCTTCCAGCATCTCTTTCCTGCCCAGCCCCGGGCTGGCCGGCTGGGAGAGAGGCCACCCTTCAAAGCCAGCTCAGCCCCCCATCTCACTGTCTGCAGTACCGACCCCACAACGAAAGTGCAAAAAGAAAACCCACCTCCCTTGCATTCCCATGTCACAGGCATGACACTTCGCTCGTCCTTGCCTAGGCGACCGGGCCAGGAAGCCAAGGAGGCTAACCCCAGGCCCACCCTGGGAGGGCAACTGGATTGATGCTTCTGGGACAGTGCCTAGAACTACAGGGCAGCAGAGGGGGCCCAGAGACAGACCCAGCCCCTGCCCCTTCTGTGTCAGCCTGTGACTTCTCTACTCAAAAGTCACCTAGAGCAGGGAGGGTGCCCCAAGGTCTGCCCCCAGTTCCATCAAGCCCACAGACGCCCCGGCTCCTCTCAGAACTGTCACACACAGGTTTATCTTTGCCCTTCCTGGGCCTGTTCCAAACTCTCTGTGCCACCTCTTAGAATCCCGAGGGTCACAGATTGGCTGCCTGCTGGTCACTGAGTAGCTTCCCGTGGCCCTGCACAGCTAGGGCAGGGAGGGCCAGACAGGCACTGGGATCTGAGGTGCGGATGTGGATGGAGGGGCGCCTGGGGGACAGGTATGTCTGGTCCCTCCATGAGTTACCTCCCAAGGGAGGCTCAGAGAAGTAAATGCTGTGCCGAGGTCAGCCAGAGAGTAGAGCGTCAGCATCTGAACCCCCAGAACTGCCTGGCCCCAGTCCTCCCCTACCTCTCCTCTCACCACCATCATTCCCTGCTGTGGAAGCTTCAGTTGTCAGCCTTGCCTCTCTGCCATTCAGCTTGTCAGGCAGTTGCAAGGAAACCTGTCACTTGGAGACATCTCCCAGCCCCCTTCCTAGGGATGTCTTCACACAGCCTCTTTACCTTTTCATTTGTTCATGTACTTATTCACTCATTCATTCAACAACCCCTCCTTAGTGCCTGCTTGGTGCTGCCACTGCCCCTATCCTAGACACTCCCGACCCAGGCCCATCAGCCCTAGTCCCTGCCCCCTAGTCTGGCAAGGCACAAAAGACACAGGTGAAAATACCAGGCAGTGGCTCAAGCCTGGAATCCCAGCACTTTGGAAGGCCAATGCAGGAGGATCGCTTGAGCCCAGGAGTTTGAGACCAGCCTGGGCAACATAGTGAGGACCCATCTTCTTTTTAATTAGCTGGGCATGGTGGTATGCACCTGTAGTCCCAGCTACTGGGAAACTGAGGTGGGAGGATCGTTTGACCCCAGGAGGTAAAGGCTGCAGTGAGCTGTGATCACACTCAGACTGCACTGCAGTCTGGGTGAAAGAGCAAGATCCTATATTAAAAAAAAAAAAAAAAAAAAAAAAGATGGAAGGAAGGGAGGGAGGGAGGGAAGGAGGGAGAGAGGAGGCAGGCACAGTTGCTCACGCCTCTAATCCCAGCACTTTAGGAGGCCGAGGCGGGCAGATCATGAGGCCAAGAGATCGAGACCATCCTGGCCAATATGGTGAAACCCCTTCTCTACTAAAGATACAAAAAATTAGCTGGGCGTGGTGGTATGTGCCTGTAGTCCCAGCTACTTGGGAGGCTAAGGCAGGAGAATTGCTTGAACCTGGGAGGCAGAGGTTGCAGTGAGCCGAGTTCGTGCTACTGCACTCCAGCCTGGCGACAGAGCAAGACTCTCCACTAGCTCCATGCACCGTGTTGTAGGAGACGGTCCCTAAAGGGTCTGCAAGCTGGAGGAGGGAGGGCACGGCATAGGCCTGGCTGTGGGCAAACACAGGGACAGGGCCCTAGGGGAGGCTGAGAGTTAAGCCTGGAGGGGCAGTTAGCCTGTCCTGTCCTGTCAGAGGGCCTAGTTAGTCTTCCCCTCCTGGCAGGAAGACCTGCAAGGCAAAGCCCATGCAGCTCTCTCTTTGTCCCTCGCGTCCAGCTCAGGGCACTCGAGTTCAGGGTGGCCTTATACAGGGGCAAGGCCAGGGGTCATCTCCACAGGCTGGTTCAAGTTGAAGGGACCAGACACCCAGATTCTGTGTGGACATCTCCAGACAGGGTCTTGCAGCCCCTCAAGCTAGGATGAAATCCTCAAGAGGATGGTAGAGGGTGCCCAGCATAGAAGATGCTCAGAAAATTGGCCCTCCTTCAAGGTCTGATCCCTCTAGAGGGCACAGTTCAAGAGGAGCCCCTGAGCAGGTCATGCCAGATTAGACTTGCCCACCTGTGCCCCAAGGGCTGAGGCCCTGGGCCTCCAAGCTTCCTTGGTCCACAAAGGGAGTCAGCTTGGGTAGAGGGTGGGGAGGCCTCAGGCTCCAGAATCAGGCAAACTTGAGTTCTAATCTCAGTTCTGCCACATCTCAGCTGCATGGCTTCTTTGGGCCTCAGTTTCCTCATCTGTAAAATGGGGGTAATAATACCTGCCACACAAGATACCCGTAAAGATGGAGGGAGGACATGAATGTGTGCTGCCAGAGGGTGCCTGCCACACAGTCAAAGCTCAGGAAATTGGGGCCTTACTCTCACCTTAGCATTTTCAGGTGCCAGCAGCTCCCCCAGGACCAAATTCCTAAGAAAAAAATATGACCGGCCGAGGTCCAAGCCTGGGTCCGTGTGTCACTGGCCACCACACCCTTCCTTGCCCTTTCTTCCCCTTTTTCTCCATTCACTCACCACTTCTTCTCAAGCAGGCTGAAGCAGGGGAGGCCAGCCCTGCTCAACACAACTTCCCCAGGCCCTGCAGTGGCAGCCAGGGCAGGCCAGAGCCCCTGCAGGGCCCCTGCACACCTGCACCTCACTCCGCTGTGGGGTGCTGCTCTGATTGTGGCATGCCTGGTGCTTTCACTCATGGGGCCTCATTCAAGCTTCACAGCAGCCTCAGGAAATTGGGAGTGCTGAGCCCCATGCTACCCAGGGAAAACTGAAGCTCAGAGAAGTTACTTGTTCCCGAATAGCAGAGCTGGAATTGGATTCCACCCCCACTCCCACCCATCTCCAGATTTCTGTCCCTACTCAATTTCAGCTCCAGCTATGCTATCAACAACTGTCAGGGCAAGAGAGGCTCAGGATGGAGAGCTACAGGTGGCATTCAGGGGCTGAGAGTCCCTAGTGAAGGGGTGCCAAGGCCAGGGTCCTGATGGCTGCTTGGGAGCACGAGGCAAAGACGGTGCTTCTTGAGGAGGGAGTTCAGATCTGACCCCTCCCACCAACCAGGCCAGCACTCCAGGGGTGACCAGACTGGCAGGGAGAGAGGCCGGGACATGGGTGGATAAGCACGTGGTGGGAAGGGGCATTCAAGGGGCCTGGTGTTTGGGGACGACTAATGTCAACGGGCAGAGATCGGGGAGCAATTCCAAGCGAAGAGCAGGAGCAGATACCCAGGCACTGGCAATGGCAAAGCCGGAAGCAGGGGTGTGGGGAAAATAGAAAAGTTCGGTGAAGTGTAGGGTGGAGGTGAGGGGGAGGAAAATGGGTGAGGCTGAAGGGGGTTCATTAGTCAGGCCCAGGTAGGGTTTTAGCCGTAACCTGGCAACCGCAACGTGCCTCCGGGGGCAGGGAAAGGGCCCGGGTTGGCACCGTGGGGAGGGGTGGGGCCTGGGGAGGATCTAGCAGGCAGCCCCACTTAACGACATTCAGTTAAGCAGAACGTGGAAAATAAACCTGTGAGGGCCAAACAAAATTGAAGTGCTGGCTGGCGCCAGCTCCAGCGCCTATCACCCCTGACTCGGGGTTAGAGGGCAGGACAGAGGCTCAGGGTGTGCGCGAGGAGGGCAGGGCCAAGCAGCCCAGCGGAGGGGGGCGAGTCCGGGTGATTCTCGGGGATCTGGGGGAGGGCGATGACTGCGTCTCCGAGGCTGGGAACACCGTGGCGGTGCAGCCGGGGGAGGAGGAGCCCGGGCGCGGGCAGGTAGGTGCAGGCTGCAGAGGAACCTTGCGGCCGCGCAGGGAAAGGCTTCGTCCCGTCCCTCCTCGCAGCCCTCTGCCGCCCTCGGAGTGGGGACTTTCTCCTGTCGCCGTGGGAAGCACCGACTTTCGTTGGGGGATTTGACTCTGCGGGGAGGACAGAGCGGGGAGCACGAGAGCAGGGCCAGGAGGGGCGGGGCCGGAGACGGGGGCGGGGCGCGCTGGGCCCGACGCCCCGCCCAGCGCGCTCTGCACTAACTCGCTGCCCTCCACTGCAACTTCTTATTCCCGGGCTCCAGATGGGAAGCGAAGCTCAGGGAGGAGCCCGAAGTTGTAAAACTGGAAAAAGTCAGGGCTGGGGTTTGAATCTGGATCTGAGAGACGCCCCCCGCCCCCAACACCTGTGCTCTTTCCTTCTATGGCGGGAGTGGCAAACTCGAATGTGTAGCGGGGTCAGGCATCAACACTGACACAAGAACGACATTAATAGTAACGTTCCTTGAACATTTACTACACGCCCGATAGTGTTCTGAGTTCTTTATATATATTTCACTCATTTAATCGCACCAATCCTTCGAAGTCAGGACCATTATTTGCTCCATTTTTAGAGAGGAAAAAACTGAGGCACAGAGAGGTTAAGTACCTCGTCCAAAGTCACACAGCACAAATTTGACCTCCCAAATTTGAGCCTGCCTCCCACTGCCTCCACAAGTAACATAAATGCATTAAACTGGCCCCAGAGGCCTCTGAGAGGAGTGTAAGCCCTTTTGGGGAAGGTGGTGGCTGCTCAATCCCGGACAAGGTTGTCCTGCTGGGAAGGAGCTGGAGCATTACAGTCTCACGGAGCAAGTGGAATTTAAAATCTCTTGCTTTTTAAATGTGGAAAATACCTTTAAATAAAAATAATAATCATCATAATAAAACCTGAGAGGGCCAAGGTAATAGTAATTTCCCACATATCTGCAGACCGGATCTGGCCCACAGATGGCCGCCCTGTGACCTGAATACTCTCAGGGTGGGAGTAGGAAACAGAGAGGAAGGTTCCATTCAGGAGGGTGGGGGTTGGGGGGCTTTCCGGGGTGGAGATGTTTGCAGGCCTGTTTCCAGTTGGGATGGGAATAAGGGGCTGGTGGTAGGAACTTCTGTGACAGGGCATGGTGAAAGTGTAGGAGGTAAGCGGGAAGTAGGAACTGGGGATGACTCAAGCCCTGATGTTGGAAGCCCGGGTGATGGGAAGAAAGATGGGGGCAGGGAAGCTGGTTTGGTACTGTGTTTTGGTGGAGGCAGAGGGAGCTTCCATTTGGGACTTCCATTTGGGAGCTTGAGGGCTTGTGGGACATTTGAGGGGGGACTCGCCCCCCTCCGCTGGGCTGCCTGGCCCTGCCCTCCTCGCGCACACCCTGAGCCTCTGTCCTGCCCTCTAACCCCAAGTCAGGGGTGATAGGCGCTGGAGCCGTTACCAGGAAGTTGGTTATGTGTGTCTGGAGCTGTGGATCTGTGGATGGGACAAAGTGCCCAGGACAGAGCCAGAGAGGGGTTGAGGCCACATTGCATGAGTGGGAGATAGTGGGGAAGCTGGAGGAGCTGCTAGGAAGGTAAAAAGAGAAACAAGAGAAACCACCGCAAGAGTCATTTTGAGAGGAGAGTTTTTCTGTTTCACTAATGATTGGGATTCCCAGAGAAACCAGAGTTGTGCACTGGGGGCAAGGATGGAGTTAGTTACTGCAGCAGTACTACTCACAGAGTAGTCCCTGAACCAGCAGCATCAGCATCGCCTGGGAGCTTGGTAGAAATGGACAGCCTCAGGCCCCATCTTGGACCTACTGAACCTGAATCTCCAGAGGTGGGGTCCTCCCACTCTGCACTGAAGTTTGAGAACCACTGCTCTGTACTATAGACCAGCATCTTGTGCCCTCCCACGGTGGTAATGGGACCCTGGGCCCAATAGGCAACACGTGCGATAGTAAGATCACTGGCTGCAGAGACACCTCTCCTTCCTCAAAGACAGCACATGTTTATACAGCCCATATCACATGCTGGCCCATGTTCTAGATGCTGTGGATATATTTTTATTTGATTTTCTTTTATTGAGACGGAGCTTTGCTCTTGTCACCCGGGCTGGAGGGCAATGCCACAATCTCAGCTCACTGCAACCTCTGCCTCCTGGGTTCAAGCGATTCTCCTGCCTCAGCCTCCCGAGTAGCTGGGATTACAGGCATCCACAACCACATCCAGCTAATTTTTTTTTTTTTTTGTATTTTTAGTAGAGACTGGGTTTCACCATGTTGGCCAGGCTGGTCTCGAACTCCTGACCTCAGGTGATCCACCCATCTCGGCCTCCCAAAGTGCTGGGATTACAGGCGTGAGCCACCGTGTCCAGCCAATGCTGTGAATATATTAAACTGACTTGATCTTTACATCAAGATGGAAGCAAATGGTTTGCCTCCATTTGTAAATAGGCATTATCTCCTATTTACAGATTACAGATGGAGGCAAACAAGTTAACTAACTTGCCCAAAGTTACACAGCTAGTAAGTGGCAGAGACTAAAGTCTGTTCCTACCCACCATGCTATGCACACCTGGCTCACCCAGCAGGGGCTGGGGGAGGAGGGAACCAGGGGCTGCTGGAAGGTACCTGCCATAAGTCCCAGTACTTAGTGGTTGGCACAGGATGGAAGGGGAGCCAGGGGCAGACTGAGGAAAACCCTGACCAAGTAGAACCTGGCCGGGGATGCCCAGGTGGAGGAGAACGCAGTTCCAGCTCCTGGGAGTCGGGCCCAGAACTGTCCCCTGGGAATCCTCACTGGGCTCTTCTGACTTTCTCTGTTGGGTCTCTTATAGGTTCTGGCTGTGTCAGATGGAGGTAAGTGACAGAATGTGTGGAGAACTGGCTGAGTGGGAGGGAGGAGGGAGGTGGAGATGGGTGGGGACACCCCTGCCACCTGCTATCTTTCCAGGGAACATGGCTGCAGAGTGGATGCATGGGGGAGGGTGGGTTGTGCCAGGGGCTGGGGAAGGCAGCAAGGCTCACCCCAACTTGTCCATCCCCCTGCAGAGCTGAGCAGCACGACGGGGCCCCAGGGCCAGGGCGAGGGCCGCGGCAGCTCTCTCAGCATCCACAGCCTCCCCAGTGGTCCCAGCAGCCCCTTCCCAACCGAGGAGCAGCCTGTGGCCAGCTGGGCCCTGTCCTTCGAGCGGCTGTTGCAGGACCCGCTGGGCCTGGCTTACTTCACTGTAAGCCTGGGGTAGGGAAAGGGAAGGGGGGACACGGGAGAGGGCAGGGCGTGGATGGAGCTTCAGGCTGGCCAGAGTGGGGTCCTCTGTCAGCTTCCTCATCTAGCCTTCCTGCAGCACCCTCTTCCTCTTCTCCCAGCTGGGAACTTTTCTTCCTTCTCCCTGTCCTTGTCTCTGCCTCTCATTTTCTCTCCCTGTCTTCAGATCGGTCTGGCTCCGTCTGTCTGTCTGGCCCTGTCTGTCTGGCTTGGTCTCTTGGCCCTGTCTCTGTCCCAATCTTTTTGATCACATCCCCCAGTTTGGTCTCTGTGTCTCTGAGTCTCTGCCTGCCTCCCCCTCCTTCCCCTCCCAGGAGTTCCTGAAGAAGGAGTTCAGCGCGGAAAACGTGACTTTCTGGAAGGCCTGCGAGCGCTTCCAGCAGATCCCGGCCAGCGATACCCAGCAGGTGGGGGAAGGGGGAGCTGGGGCCGAGGGCTGGGGAGAGGGGAACTGGGCCACGCTCCCTGACCAACTCCTCCTGTCCCTCCTCCTTCAGCTAGCTCAGGAGGCCCGCAACATCTACCAGGAGTTCCTGTCCAGCCAGGCGCTGAGCCCAGTGAACATCGACCGTCAGGCCTGGCTTGGCGAGGAGGTGCTGGCCGAGCCCCGGCCGGACATGTTTCGGGCACAGCAGCTTCAGGTGGGCGATCCTGGGGGGATTGGCCTTGAAAGGGAGACAAAAGGAGCAGGGGCGGGGTCGGACCCTGGCGGGGAGTCTGAACTACAAAGCGGAGGGGGCAAATTTGGAGGCGGAGACAGAGCCAAATGCCGGGGCAGGCAGGGCGGAGCTCAGAGGGCGGTATCAGAGGCACGGGGAAGGACAGTTAGAGGCGGAGCCTAGCTGAGCTCGGGGCGGGCTTGGACCCCGGGGGTGGGTATAGGAACTGAGGTCGGGGCGGGGCTTGGGAAATCCAGCCCTAGGTTTGGGGCGGGGCCAGCCCCAAGGACCCGGCCTGGGTGCAGGCAGCCCAGCGCCCCCACCCCAGCCCCGGCTCACCTGTTCCGGGGTCGCCCCGCAGATCTTCAACTTGATGAAGTTCGACAGCTATGCGCGCTTCGTCAAGTCCCCGCTGTACCGCGAGTGCCTGCTAGCCGAAGCCGAGGGACGCCCTCTGCGGGAACCTGGCTCCTCGCGCCTCGGCAGCCCTGACGCCACGAGGAAGGTGCGTGGGACTGGGCGAGGGACTGGGCGAGGCAGGGGGTCCTGCGGACCGCGTGCAAGAGGGGACGCCTCCGGGTGCAGATCTGCGAGTCTGTGCCCACGGTCTGCATGCGGGCTGGGGCCCAGCCCGGTGCCAGCGCCTCCCCTGTACCCACAGAAGCCGAAGCTGAAGCCCGGGAAGTCGCTGCCGCTGGGTGTGGAGGAGTTGGGGCAGCTGCCACCCGTTGAGGGTCCTGGGGGCCGCCCTCTCCGCAAGTCCTTCCGCCGGGGTGAGGGCAGGAGCGAGCAACAGAGATGTGGGGAAGGCGGGAGTTTGGTTAAATTTGGGGAGTGCCCCCTTCCTCCTACGTGGCCCACAGTCTGTAAGTCTGTGAAAATTGAAACCCAGGTCCCAGTGACCACCACACTCCCCTGGGTGGTTCGGGTCTTGGGCTAGACCTCAGACGTTTGGAAATCTCCAACGGTGGTGTCGCTCCCAGGGATTTACACCTGGGCCCCTGCAGGATGGCTCCAAACAAGGCCCACCAGTGGGGAACAGGCTTCCGCAGAGGATGGGTGAGGGCGGGGGGCTGTTCGCGTTCATCGCTCCCTCTTCACTAGAGCTGGGCGGGACTGCAAACGCCGCCTTGCGCCGAGAGTCTCAGGGCTCCCTCAACTCCTCCGCCAGCCTGGACCTTGGCTTCCTAGCCTTCGTCAGCAGCAAATCTGAGGTGAGCCGACTGTTGGGGAAGACAAGATGCTCTATGGGCTAGAGTCACTACTCAGGCCCATTTACGTGGTGGCCCTCATTCCAAGTTGCTGTCCTTACTGCGTCTCCCAGCTTGCTCTGCGTAGCCAACCCTTCAGCCTCCTTACTTGTCTCACTACATTGGTCCCCATATATGTCATGGGTACACATCCTCAGTTGGCAAATGTGTGCACATGTGCAGCACCCAGGTGTGTATACACAGCACGTGTGTGGGAATCAGCGGGTGGACCCGTCTCTAGGTGCCCATATGCCTGGGTGTGCATACATGTGTTCCTGCAGGAGGACGTATCTTTGCCTGCCTTGGGAGTGCGTGTGCATGCTTGAGCCCCAGCAAGCTTACCTATCTCTGTGTACCTGTGTGCATGCCCTTGCATGTGTACACATAATCTCCCCCACTCCTGCCATGAATCAGAGCCACCGGAAGAGCCTTGGGAGCACGGAGGGTGAAAGTGAAAGCCGGCCAGGGAAGTACTGCTGTGTGTACCTGCCCGATGGCACAGCCTCCTTGGCCCTGGCCAGACCTGGCCTCACCATCCGAGACATGCTGGCAGGGATCTGTGAGAAACGAGGCCTCTCTCTACCTGACATCAAGGTCTACCTGGTGGGCAATGAACAGGTGGGAACGTGACCTGGCTCCAACTCTAACCTCCTTCCTGATCCTGACCCCAACTCCATTTCTGTCTCTGCTCAGTCATGGCTCCAACCCCAATTCAAGTTCTAAACCCAACTCCAAAGCACCCTCAGCACCAACTTTCACTCACTCAGACATCCACCCACCCCCCACCTCATGTCCTTCCAGGTTTCCACCTTCATCCATCATCCTATTGTGGTGACCTTAGGGAGGTAAAACTGGAGAGAACCACTGTTGGAGCTGGGGTTTGCCCCTCATCATTCCCAGAGTCCAGACTCCCATCCCCACAGACCCATCCTGGAAATGGCCATCCGTGGGGTGCCCTCACCTCCTTAGCCTCTAGGGGCACCCAAGTGCACCTAACCAATGAACTTTTTCCTTTAGGTGCAAACTAGCTTAAACTTTAAAGAAGACCTAGGGGAAAACTGGCTTTAAAGGAAACCATTCAGTCAGGGGAATCTCAAGGAAGAATGCTACCTTCCAGGGGGCCATCGGGATTTCATTTACCTAGTAGACAAGTCCTAAGGCCTTGCCAGGTGTGTGGGGGAGAGGAACCTAGATCTGGGGCTGTCCTCCTGGCCCACAGGCTGAAAGTAAGCCAAGCAGGGAGTGATCAGGGAGGAGGAAGAGTGAAAACTCCAGAGAAGGTCTCTTGGGAGAGGGTAGGCATTTCTGGCTGGTGTCCGGAAGGCTTCATGGAAGAAGCAGCAGTAGATGTGGATGGGCAGAGCTGTGGGGGAGGATATTCCAGGCAGAGGGAACAGCTTAGGCAAAGGCCTGCAGGTGGGTACTTGCGGGGCATGTTCAGGGGCCTGGAGTGCAGGGGTGCGAGGGCAGTAGTGGGAGGCATTTTGCCCACTCTTCTCAGGCCGCTAGGGCGGCTGCCAGCAGCCCAGATGGGCTTTCATACATGCTAAATATAACTTCCTCACCCACACTCCACCTGCTCCTGCAGCACAGCATAAGCCTACTGCCTGGGAGATGCTGCCCCCAACCCCCACATCAGGCTGGAGCAGGCAGTGGGGCCTCTGAAGGTGGTCATCACGAGAGTTACTGTTTATGTACCTACTGTGTGCCAGGCATTGTGCCAGATGCTTCACATCCTCTGGTTTCACAGCAGTTTTGAGGGTGGGCCCTTTTTGAATGAGGAAACAAGAAGTGTCCTTAGTAGCGGGGAATGGAGAGAAGTGGACAAATGTCAAAAATGGGACCAGGCCAGGGTGGTTGGTCAAAGGTGGGTGGTGAGGGAGGAAATGCTTCCAGCTGGTCTGGTCGGATTTCACACACCTGAGGGACACGAGACAGCTGTCCTGGAGGCAGAGCCTGTCCTGGCACAGAAAGAGTAGGCCAGAGATCCCGGATCTAGGCCTGCCCCTTATCATTTCATGCCAGCAGCTACGTTTCTCGTAATTTCTGTCCTTTCCCAAGAATGTCCAGCATTCTTGCCACTTTTCTCCCTGGCCTTGGCTTTCCTGGGCTTGGACTCCAGCTTGGTACCTTAACCCATTTGCTCCCCTACAGCTCTTCCACCCTCCATCCCTTCCTCTAGGAAGCCCAGTGGTGGCCATGGGAGGGCGTGAAGTTGTTCTCAGACCCACAGGGATGGCTGGGGGTTGGGGGAGGGACTCTTAGACCCTGCCTGGCATCCACAGAAGGCCCTGGTCCTGGATCAGGACTGCACCGTGCTGGCGGATCAGGAAGTGCGGCTGGAAAACAGGATCACCTTCGAGTGAGTGTCCTGCCCCCAAGTCTGGGTCCCAGGTCCTGACGCTCCCTTCAGGCCCTGTTCTAGCTACCTGGCTCCCCAGGCCCCGCCCCTCGTGCTAGCCCCGCCCCTGGGACAAACCCCGCCCCCTACAAGCCAGTCCCACCTTCTGCAGTTCAAGCTCCACCCCCTCGCGTTTGTCCTGGGAAGGGTTTGGCGGGGGGCCGGCCCTCCGGCCCTCTGCTGCCCGAGGGTTCCTCGCAGGCTGGAGCTGACGGCGCTGGAGCGCGTGGTACGAATCTCAGCCAAGCCCACCAAGCGGCTGCAGGAGGCGCTGCAGCCCATTCTGGAGAAGCACGGCTTGAGCCCGCTAGAGGTGGTGCTGCACCGGGTGAGCTTCCGGGCCGCGGGGCGGGGCGGGGCGGGGCCGGGCCGGGGCCGGGGCCGGGGCCGGGGCCGGGGCCGGGGCCGGGGCCGGGGCCGGGCGGAGGCCTGTACCGCGGGCTGCTGACCTCTCCCCACAGCCAGGCGAGAAACAGCCTCTGGATCTGGGGAAGCTAGTGAGCTCGGTGGCGGCCCAGAGACTGGTTTTGGACACTCTTCCAGGTAGGGGACGCTGGCCTCGGGGCTTGATCTGGAACAGCTGTGGCCCAGGAGGAAGGGGGTCCAGGTGGGAGGCAAACACTAACTGTGGCCCTCTCTGCTGCAGGTGTGAAGATCTCCAAAGCCCGTGACAAATCTCCCTGCCGCAGCCAGGTGAGCGAAAGGCGAGTGGCCTCTTCCACCCTCTGCTTCTCCCCTCCCGATTTTGGCTCTGACCCCAA
The DNA here is from genome assembly GCF_000001405.40 of Homo sapiens. Lineage (NCBI taxonomy): Eukaryota > Metazoa > Chordata > Mammalia > Primates > Hominidae > Homo > Homo sapiens. The sequence goes on from NC_000005.10 coordinate 177,371,465, forward strand.
ATTCTCGCAGGGCTGCCCACCTAGAACTCAGGATAAGGCCACCCATCCCCCTCCAGCGTCCCCCAGTTCTCTGGTGAAGGTGCCCAGTAGTGCCACTGGAAAGCGGCAGACCTGTGACATCGAAGGTACATGGTGGATGAGCTGGGGATCAGAAAGACTAGGGCAGTGGGGTTGGGGACCATTCAGGGTGGCATCAGAGAGCCTTGAGCTAAGGCAGGGGGCTGGGTGCCACTGGGCGTGGAACAGGAAGGATGGGGGTTGGGGGGTCAAAGGGGCTGGAACAGGGGGCCGCAGGCCATTGGTGCTGGGGCCAGGGAGGCAGTGGCCACAGTAAGGCAGTGGGACTATCGTGGGCTGGCATATAGGCAGGTCTGCTGGGGGGACCCTCATGCTGTGGCTTGCCTCCAGGCCTGGTGGAGCTGCTGAACCGGGTGCAGAGCAGCGGGGCCCACGACCAGAGGGGCCTTCTGAGGAAAGAGGACCTGGTACTTCCAGAATTTCTGCAGCTGCCCGCCCAAGGGCCCAGCTCCGAGGAGACCCCACCACAGACCAAATCAGCAGCCCAGCCCATCGGGGGATCCTTGAACTCCACCACCGACTCAGCCCTCTGACAGCTACCCAACAGTCCAGGACAGCTGCATGGCACCCGGCGGGCCGAGCATGCCATGGGTCCGCTCTGCATGCCCTGTCTGTGCCATGAGTGTCCCTGGCCCCTTCCTGCCATGGGCAGGCCCGCAGGAAGAGCCGGTAGGGGTGGAAAGGGGACTCAGATGAGACACACCCCACAGCTGCCACCGCCTTGTCCCTCAACAAGCTCACCCCCAATCCCTTGCAGCCAGGCCACAATGGGGGAGGTGAGTCCAGCCCCTTGGAACAGGCTTGCCCAACATGGAGGGATGGCGTTGGCAGTGCCAGCCTCCCCAGCCTGTGCCAAGCTTCAACAGGGGCAAGAGGAGGGGCCGGCCCCTCCTCAGGAAGCTGGTATGAGTAAGGCCTTGAGGGTGCAGGCAGGCAGCCCTGTACCCCACCCACATAGACTATACTGTACATACAGATTTTGCAGTAGGCTTGGGGCAGCTGGGTTTGTCCTTGATGTATGATACTGTTATTATAATAATTATTATTATTCTGCCATGAGTTGTCTTCCTTGTGTGCCAGACTGTCCTGTGGCTTCCCCCACCCTCAAAACACACTACTTCTGTCACCAAGGTCAGTGCCAGGAAACTCTTGGGGACCTCAGGATGTGCCTCCTGACTTCCTGTTTTCAGAACCTCTCTTCCTGACTGCACAGTATATGGGGTGGTGTGTGAATATCTTATAGTATTTTTTTTTTTAAGAATATGGGAGCTGGGTGAGGTGGCTCACACCTGTAATCCCAGCACTTTGGGAGACCAAGGGGGGTGGGGGTGGATCGCTTGAGCTCAGGAGTTTGAGACCAGTCTGGGCAACATGTCAAAACTCTGTCTCTACCAAAAATACAAAAAATTACCTGGGTGTGGTGGTGCATGCCTGTGGTCCCAGCTACTTGGGAGACAGGTGGAAGAGGATCACTTGAGCCCGGAAGGCGAAGGTTGCAGTGAGCCGAGATCGTGCCACCGCACTCCAGCCTGGATGACAGAGTGAGACCTGTCATGGTGTGGAGGTGAGAGAGAGGGCGGGGAGAGGTGTGGGGGTGAAGAACCCTGTGGGGAGCTGTGCCTCTCCATCATGTTGCTGTTGTACTGTGGTCTCTGTGGATCTGAGTACATCATTCTGGTCCTGTTCTCTGCTTCTACTGGGGACTGAGTGTCTCTGCACACATAACTGGAGAATCCTTTGAGGGCACCAAAGGTCTATAAGGGGGACACTGATTGTTGTAGCAGGGGCAGGTTCTCTCTCTTTTTTTTTTTTGAGACGGAGTCTCCCTCTGTCGCCCAGGCTAGAGTGCAGTGGCGCGATCTTGGCCATCTTGGCTCACTGCAAGCTTCGCCTCCAGGGTTCACGCCATTCTCCTGCCTCAGCCTCCTGAGTAGCTGGGACTACAGGCCCCCGCCACCGTGCCCAGCTAATTTTTTGTATTTTTAGTAGAGACGGGGTTTCACCGTGTTAGCCAGGATGGTCTCGATCTCCTGACCTTGTGAGCCGCCTGCCTCGGTCTCCTAAAGTGTTGGGATTACAGGCGTGAGCCACCGCACCTGGCCCCTCAGGGGCAGGTTCTCACTCTTACCTGCTTTAGCTGGGTGGTCTAGCTGGAAGTCCAAACCCCTCACTGTGGGAGGCAAGGAGGACCTCCCAGAAGGAGGGCCCCAGACTGCGGGGAGAGAAGCCAGACTGGGTTCCAGCCCAGAGAGGTAAGTGCTGCAACAGGAAGCTAGGGGGTGTAGGGGCCAGGAGAAGGCACCTGAGAGAGTGAGGGGTGTCTCCTGACTGCCTCAAACAGGTCACGTTGCCTTCCCCATTGGAATCTTTGCACTCGCTGTCTCCTCTGCCAGGAACTCCCCTTACCTGCCCCGTGCGCAGTCAACTGGCTCCTCCTCCTCCTGGAAATCTGTGGGGTTTGCCAGCCACCCTGTCCCACTATGGGAGCTTCACACCTCTGCCCCCTCAGCCCATTTTGTTTGGCTGGCATAACCGGATCCCTGGCAAGCCTGGCTGATCAGAATACTCCATTCCACTGGCCAATCAGCGTACTCCATTCCACTAGCCAATCAGAGTAGTACCTTTCCCTGGCCAGAATTTGGTTCAGACATAGTCCTCTGACCTCAGGTGTTCCAATCAGAGTCCCAGTCCCGGTCATTTTCTACCGTCTCCTGGGGTTTGTAGAAAGGACCCTTAGGGAGCGAACCTGCATGTGAATGCAGCCAACACTGGAGAGCAAGACTAAAAGATGAAGGAAGATTCCTGACGAAATCCAGCTATACCTGAAATAAAACACTCCTTGCTTTTCTCCTTTTGCAAGCCAATAAATCCTTTTCGTGTCTGTGCTTGTTACCATGAGAGGTTTTTAAGACCTGCAACTACAAAAGTCCTGCCTCATTGAAGATCTCTGTTTAAACACCTCAGAAGATCCTTCTCTAGTCACCCAGTATAGCCAGGGATGGGCTCCCTGACTCTGTTCTCTATCATTCTAGCCAGTTTTCTAAATTTGCAGTAGTTATCCCACTGTGCAATTACCTTGTTTACTGATTGATACTCGTGCTGACAATATGATGATACTCATGCTGCGATGGTAGAAACCTTGTCCATCTTTTTTTTTTTTTTTGAGATGGAGTCTCACTCTGTTGCCTAGACTGGAGTGCAGCGGCTCGATCTCGGCTCACTGCAACCTCCACCTCCTGGGTTCAAGCGATTCTCCTGCCTCAGCCTCCTGAGTAGCTGGGATCATAGGCATGCACCACCATGCCCAGTTAATTTTTGTATTTTTAGTAGAGATGGGGTTTTATCATGGTGGCCAGGCTGGTCTCGAACTCCTGACTTCTAGTGATCCACCCGCCTAGGCCTCCCAAAGTGCTGGGATTACAAACATGAGCCACTGCGCCTGGCCGACCTTGTCCATCTTAATCACCACTCTATCCCCTTGGCCTAGTGGGCTGATAAATGACCCTACAGTCTCACATAGTCTTAGCAAAGCATGCGTTGGCAGCAGGGCATTGGTGGTCCTGGCAGGGGACTGCATAGCACCCTCACAGTGTGTGGCCAGAGGTTGGGGTAGGGAGACAAGCCCGTGTCCCTTCTCTGACCAGCCACAGAACTTTCTCCCTTGTGGGAGGAGACAGACACCCTTCCATGTTCTCCAGGATAGAGAGGTGAGAGATAGGCTGTCTCTCCAAAGTTAACAGATCCCGCAGGGCAAGCCCACCCTTCACCTAGTCCTGTACTTCTGTGGGCCCGGCAATGATGCCAGCTACTGTTAGGGACCAATGGGATTGCCCCATGATAAAGGGTTAGGGGCCAGGGAGAAGAGCATGCACAGAGGTCAGCCCTGCAGGTGCAGGAATTCACATTTACTGAGGTCCCCAATGTGAACTGAAGTTCACATTACTGAGGTCCATCCTTTAGCTCATGTTTTGCCTTCACAACAAAACAACCTGGTGAAGACCAACTCAGGCTGCAAGAGGGTAAGTGACTAGCCCAGGAACCTGGAAGGAGTTGTCACGGGAGCTTCACCAGCACCCAGGCTGTCTGATGGGGACACACCCCAGGGGGCCTAGATGCTGCAGAAATCCCCGATGGGGAGCCAGGTCCTCTCCCAGGAGAGCACTTTGTGGTTTTTTGTTTGTTTGTTTTATGTGTGTGTTTTGTTTTGTTCTGTTTTTTGAGATGGAGTCTCACCCTGTTGCCCAGGCTGGAGTGCAATGGTGCAATCTCGGCTCACTGCAACCTCCACCTCCTGGATTCAAGCAATTCTCCTGCCTCAGCCTCCCGAGTATCTGGGATTACAGGCACGTGCCACCACACCCAGCTAATTTTTTTTTTTTTTTTGTATCTTTAGTAGAGACGGGGCTTCACCATGTTGGCCATGCTGGTCTCGAACTCCTGACCTCATGATCCACCTGCCTCAGCCTTCCAAAGTGCTGGGATTACAGGCGTGAGCCACCACGCCTGGCCCCAGGAGAGTGCTTTGATATGGCTACTCCAGGGGGACAGTTTGGGAGTTTCTGCCAAAAATTAAAAACAGTGTGTGACCTCAGTGATGCCACTAGAGAATCACTCACTCCCGGGCACAAAGAGGCCTATCCCCGCAGGGTTATCTGTGACCCGAAAACAAACAACTCTATGTGGCTGGGGGTGGACCTAATAAAATACACTGTAGCGTGTCCACGCTCTGCAGTACCACACAGCAGACAAAGAACTGGGTACAGCGTGTTCTAATGTGGAAAATCCTCCAAGATGTGCTGTTGTACTGTGAAATAAAGCACAGCAATACACATGGCATAACTTTATATAAACCACAAGCGCACAGGCACTTACAAGGGTAGGGAAAGGAGAGAGAATGTTCTCCAAAGATGCAGAGAAGTCAACAAACAACAGTGTGTGGGCCGGTCGCCGTGGGTCACGCCTGTAATCCCAGCACTTTGGGAGGGTGAGGCGGGTGGATCACCTGAGGTCAGGAGTTCGAGACCAGCCTGGCCAACCCCATCTCTACTAAAAATAGAAAAATTAGCCGGGCATGGTAAAAATTAGCTGGGTATGGTAAAAATTAGCCAGGCACGATAAAAAATTAGCAGACACCTATAATCTCAGCTACCTGGGAGGCTGAGGCAGGAGAATCACCAAACTAACGAGACGGGAAGGGGACCAGGACTGGGGGTAGTGGTCAAAAGAGACTTTCATCTTAGCTTTAATTTTTTTAAGGATACAATTTTTAATCATTACAATAATGCGAAGGACTCCCCAAGATCCCTCTTTGTCCCTGATGGTCCACCATTCTTTGGTAGAGCCCAGTCCTTCCTTCGGGGGCTGGAGCCCACCACCCCTCTCGGCCCATTTTAGTTGGTGGAGTGTGCCCCTCTGCCATGATTTCCTCTGAGACTCTTTTCCCAACACACCCCCTGAAGCAGCCCTGGGCTGAGGGGGAACTGCTTCCTTCCTCCCAGTTTCTGTGCTCCCAGAATCCTCACCTCCTTGCCTGGCCAGGCCCCATCTGCTGGGAGAGAGGCCCAGGCCCATGGCCTCCTCCTTCAGACCTGCGGCAGGGGTAAGGAGCACCAGCTGGTCAGCCCATGGGCCTGTTTCACAGCCACTGCTCTGAGCTGACTTATGGGTGGTCAGAAAAGATGGTGGAGCCACTCCCCAACCCCACCAGGTGGGAAGCCAGGAGGAGCCCGTCCACCCAGTGTGCAGTGTGAAGGAAGGGAGAACACACACAGTCGCTGTTTTTGTTTGTTTGTTTGTTTTGCTTTTTGTTTTTTTGAGATGGAATCTCGCTCTGTCACCCAGGCTGGAGTGCAGTGGTGCGATCTCGGCTCACTGCAACCTGTGCCCCACAGGTTCAAGCAATTCTCCTGCCTCAGCCTCCCGAGTAGCTAGGATTACAGGCGCCCACTAATTTTTACCATGTCCAGCTAATTTTTACCATGCTCAGCTAATTTTTCTATTTTTGGAGACGGGGTTTCACCATGTTGGCCTGGCTGGTCTCGAACTCCTGATCTCAGGTGATCCACCCGCCTCGCCCTCCCAAAGCGCTGGGATTACAGGCATGAGCCACCCCGCCTGGCCCACACACTGTTGTTTTTTGACCTCTCTGCATCTTTGCAACACCCCATTTAGCAGAGGGCACTGGCTAATAGCACAGGCATGACCTTCTTGAGGACACGCAGGGTACCCAAGCCCATGTGGCTCCAAGTCCTCAAGAGACAATCTTGCTACTTGTCTCTGGTTCCCCCCACCTTCACCAAGTCTTGGGGCTGGGGAAGAGGATGGCACAAAATGGGCACAGAGCAAGCACAGGGCACAGTGTCCTGGGTTCTGGGCCACAGTTCCAGGAGTCAGGAATAGGCACTGGCTGCTCATCTGGAGCCCCTGCCGGAAGTGCTGAGGCAACAGCCCCAACCCCCAGGGAGGTGATCACAAGATGCACCCCGCAGGGTGTCTAGCCTGGTAGTCAGGTGACCCTGGCTTTTGAGCGGGTGTAGAAGAAGCTGGAAGTCAGCTACCATGGGGAGACAAAGGCCCAGGTTGCGGGGAACACACTTGGTTCGTTACATTGAATCAGATGCAGCTCAGGCTGAGCACAGGATCAGGAACTGCCCAACTCCAGGGGGCACCATTCACATCCTTGGTGGGCCTGGTGGGCTCAGGAAGAGCTGGGAACATGAATGTGTCCATGTGGACTGTGAAAACTGTAGGGTCTGGGCAAGGGGTGCTCAGTAACCATCTTAGCACCTGTCTCCAGAGAACTGGCTTGGGGTTAGACCAGGGACAGAAAGCAAAGGGAGGACTGCCATAGAACCAGCATCACCCCTCAGGCTGGCCTAGGGCGCTGGCTGCCAGCATGAAGTCCCAGCTAGCTAAGAAGGGTAGGTGGGGATAACCCCACTAGCCAGGGAGGTCACTGTGTTCCTGACCCAGTGCTGGGGAGCTGAAGGAACCTGGAACCCAGACCACAACCTGGAGCCAGGAGTGTGGAACTGGAAGTTGGAGCCCAGAACCCGGAAGCTGGAGCCAAGAGCCTGAAGCTCAGAACCTGCAGTGTGGAATATGGAATCAGAGCCTGGAGCCCAGAATTTGGAGCCCAGTGTCTAGAACCAGAGCCCCAAGCTTGACACCCGAACCCAGAAACTAGGGCCAGGGGACTGGGTCTCAGAGCCCAGAGCCCAGAACCCAGAGCTTGAACCTGAGAATTTAGAGTGCAGAGCCTGGAGTTCCTAGCCGGGAGAAGATCCCAGAACCTGGAGATGAGCTCCAGGCCTGAAATACAGAGCCTAAGACCTGAAGTCTAAAGCCAGACCTCAGAGCTTCAGGTCCGGACCTGGACACCAGAGCCGGGGCCCGCCTTGGTAGCATGCTGTCAGCCTCCCTCTCTGGCCTGGTCCTAAGGCCAGTGTGATAGGCTAGAGCCATATGTGGAAGCGAGCTGCAGGGGAAGAGGTGACTTCTGAGAAAAGCCCAAAGCAGCCTCAGCTCTTTTGGCCACAGACTTTGGCCTTATCAGTAAATGAGTGACCAGTGCCTTGGCCACCAAGATTAATAATTCACGCAGGGCACTTATCCCCTAAACAGGCACGAGGCATTCACAGGTCAGCCAACCCTGCCCTGGACCCATAGCATTTATTTTAGCCTTGGGCCCCTATCTGGAAAATAGAACTTGGAAGAGACGATGTTTCAGGGCCTTGCCTGCTCTGTGCTGGGGCCAGGCAGCTCTGTTGAAGTCCAGGCTCTCCAAGAGAGGACAAAGTCAAGGAGGCCAGGAAAGCCATTGCTTTGTTACCCAAAGGGAACCCACCGGTGAGAACCACTTTTTTGACAAGAGATATAGAGGGGATGTGCCCCTGATGTGTGCAGCGCACACTCGTGACTGTGTGCATGGCAATTGTGCTGGTCTGAATGCCGGGATGAGACGTTCACTGCCATACACCCAACGTACAGCACTGTGCTGACTCATCGTGGAGCTTAGATGTTTGTTGAATACATAACATGCTTGTGAGAAGAGGTAGGAGCTCTCAAACTACACTGATGGGAAAGCCTGTTACGCTGTTATGAGGTTATGCTGGTTATTAGTCAGTTTCCCATCCCCCCAAAATGAAAATCCAGGTCATGGACAGAATGCTCTTTCTTTCTTTCTCTCTTTCCTTTCTTTCCTTCCTTCCTTTCTTTCTCTTTCCCTCTTTCTTTCCTTCTTTCTTTCTTTCTTTCTCTCTCTTTCTTTCTTTCCTTCCTTCCTTCTTCCTTCTTTCTCTTTCTTTCATTCTTTTCTTTCTTTCTCTTTCTTTCTCTCTCTCTCTTTCCTTTTTTTTTTTTTTTTTTTTTTTTTTTGAGACAGAGTCTTGCTCTGTTACCCAGGCTGGAGTACAATGGCGTGATCTCGGCTCACCACAATCTCCGCCTCCCGGGTTCAAGCAATTCTCCTGCCTCAGCCTCCCAAGTAGCTGGGATTACAGGCATGGGCCACCATGCCCGGCTAATTTTTTGTATTTTTAATAGAGACGGAGTTTCTCCATGTTGGTCAGGCTGGTCTCAAACTCCCGACCTCAGGTGATCCACCTGCCTCGGCCTCCTAAATTGCTGGGATTACAGGCGTGAGCCACCGCACCCGGTTTCTCTCTCTCCTTCCTTCCTTCCTTCTTCCTTCCTTCCTTCCTTTCTTTCCTTTCTCTCTCTCCTCTTTCTTGTTTCTTTCCTTTTTTTCTTCTTTCCTTTCTTCTGTCTCTTTTTTTCTCTTCCTTCCTTCTTTCCTTCCTTCCTTTCTTCTTTCTCTCTCTCACTCTTTTTTTTTTGATGGAGTTTCACTCTTGTCACCCAGGCTGGAGTGCAGTGGCATCATCTTGGCTCACTGCAACCTTCACCTCCTGAGTTCAAGCAATTCTCTTGCCTCAGTCTCCCAAGTAGCTGGGATTACAGGTGCGCGGCACCACGCCTGGCTAATGTTTGTATTTTTAGTAGAGACGGGGTTTCACCATGTTGGCCAGGCTGGTCTCGAACTCCTGACCTCAGGTGATCTGCCTGCCTTAGCCTCCCAAAGTGCTGGGATTACAGGCGTGAGCCACCGCACCCAGCCTCTTTTATTTATTTATTTATTTATTTATTTATTTATTTATGTTTTTGACACAGGGTCTCGCTCCGTCACCCAGGCTGGAGGGCAATGGTGCAATCACAGCTCACTGTAGCCTTGCCTTCCCAGATTTCAGCAATCCTCCCACCTCAGCCTCCCCAGCTACAGATGCGTGCCACCACACCTGGCTAATTATTTATTAATTTTTTTAGAGGCAGTGTCTTGCTATGTTGCCCAGGCTGGTCTTGGACTCCTGGGCTCAAGTGACCCTCCCACCTCAGCCTCCAAGTGCTGGGATTACAGGCCTGAGATTTGGAGGGGATGCGCCCCGACGTGTGCAGTGCACACTCATGACTGTGTGCATGGCAGTTGTGCTGGTGTGAATGCCGGCATAAGATGCTCAAGGGTTCTTCTTCCCTTGACCATCTTCAACTTTAGGTCCTGCGGAAAACCCACATGCAGCAAACTGTGCATTTAAGGAGCACATGGCTCTGAAGAATTGCAGAAACGGCTGGTTGTGCCAGCCTCCACAGCTTGCTCAGTTCCTGGATGTGCACATTTGTTCTTGGGATCGTTCTCTCTCTCTCCGTTCAGCAGTGATGCCTCTCCCGGAGAAATGGTTTTCACTGGTGTGATGAAATTTAATATATGTCAGCGTCTCATATTCACGCTGGCGATGCTGTCTCTGCTCCCCCGCCTCCCGCTCCTTCCCACACCATCACAAGCTGACTCCTCCCCCAACATGCCCTCCCAGGTGGCTGACAGCCCTTGGTTGTTAAAGCCTCTCTGTTCTCAGATTACTTGACATCTTAGCAGCACTTGACCCAGCCAACCAGGGTGTCTCTCTCAAAATGTGGTCCAGCCTGGCTTCTGAGGTGGCTTCCTCCTGGTCCGTGGCTGCTCCTCTCAGTCTCCCTTAAATGTGGGTGCTGGCCAGGTGCCGTGGCTCACGCCTGTAATCCCAGCACGTTAGGAGGCTGAGGCGGGTGGATCACAAGGTCAGGAGATCGAGACCATCCTGGCCAACATCGTGAAACCCTGTCTCTACTAAAAATACAAAAATTAGCTGGGCGTGGTGGCGGGTGCCTGTAGTCCCAGCTACTCAGAAGGCTGAACCAGGAGAATCGCTTGAACCTGGGAGACAGAGGTTTCAGTAAGCTGAGATCGCGCCACTGCACTCCAGCCTGGGCGACAGAGCGAGACTCTGTCTCAAAAAAAAAAAAAGTGGGTGCTCCTCTGGGCTTGGCCCTGGCCCCTTCTCTCCTCCTGTACATGTCCTCCCTGGGGTACAGTTTCTCAGGCACGGGTTAAGGCTGGCAAAGCAGGTAGGAAGCCAAGTCACCCTGGTCCTTCCAGGCTACTATAGGATCCTGGGCTTTATGCTAAGTGGTTAGCAGGGGCAGGTTTCGAAAGGAAGAGGAGGTGACATGATTAACTTGGCCTTTTTTTTTTTTTCTTTTTGAGACAGAGTTTTGCTCTTGTTGCCCAGGCTGGAGTGCAATGTGCGATCTCGGCTCACTGCAACCTCTGCCTCCTGAGTTCAAGTGATTCTCCTGCCTCAGCCTCCCGAGTAACTGGGATTACGGGTGCCCGCCACCACGCCCCGCTAATTTTTTTGTATTTTTAGTAGACATGGGGTTTCACCATGTTGGCCAGGCTGGTCTCGAACTCCTGACCTCAGGTGATCCACCTGCCTTGGCCTCCCAAAGTGCTGGGATTACAGGCGTGAGCCACCGCGCCCGGCCTAGTTTGGCATTTTGAAAAGATTGCTGTCTGCTGCTTTGGAGCATGGATCAGGGGCAGCAAGGGCAGAAATGGACAGAGCACTTGGGAAGTGACCGCAATGACCCAGGGGAGATGACAGGCCCAGTCCAGGGAGGTGGCCACAGAGATGGCTAACAGCAAAAGATCAGGGAGCTCCTGGAGCAATAAAATTGGGAGAATTGAGGACTGAGTTGGAAACGAGGAAGTGGAGGGGAAGGAAACAGCAAGGATGTCTGCTTGGTGCCCGACCCAGATGGATGGACGGTGTGCCGCTCACCAAGATCAGGAAGAAGGAGGAGGCCCAGGTTTGGGGTGAGAAGCACAGTGCGTGCTTCTGGCTTGCAGAGCCAACTGCTCGTGCCAGAGGCCGCTCAGAAAGCCTGAGCAGACGGAGCTTGGCACCTTCCCTCCAAAACAGCTCCTCCTGCTGGGTTCCTTTCTCAACGCGAGACACCCCCAACCAGGCAGGCTCTCAGCCCAGAAAAGGTCTGGGGAGGCCATGGCCAGAGCCCAGGTGCACAGACAAGGTGGGACTCACCACCCAGGGGGACACACAGACTCTGTCACTGGCCAGGGAGGAGGCAGGCAGTAGGCAGGGAGGTGCTGAAATGGCAGAGAGGCTGGCAAGAGATACGTTGGTGCTGGAATGGAGCTGCCTTCTCTGCTGCTTGTATGAGTCCCAACAGCAGCTCTGGTCAGATCCAGCATTTTCTCACTTTCACTAGGGCTGTAGCCCCAAAATAAATCTTTAGAAGTGGTGGCTGTGTAAATCAGCAGCATTTTGGAATTATATCTCTTGATGGATTTGATCGATAGCTAACTGCCTCCCCCACTAAACCCAGAGCTCCGTGACAGCAGGGAAGGCAAACTTCAAAAATATCAAAAAGCACAACCTTATTAAAAAGGAGAAACACCCCCAGTTCACCAGGAGCACCTTGGATTCAGCTGCTCCTGCCAAGGGTCTGAACTGCACGGGGGAATGGAGAGAAACAGGTCACGTGGGCCGGGGTCTCTGGGCCCGCTGTGGGGGTGTCAGTTTGCTCATAGGTGGAGACACTCGATGTGACATTAACAGCACCTTCAAGCCCAAGGACCCAGAGATTCTGACACAAGAACTGAGAACTGATTGCATTTCCGTGACTCAGCGACACCCTCCTACCTGGGCATGAACCCAGCCCTAGCCAAAGATCCAGAGACCCGACTCCCATCTATTTCCTTTTCCTCTCTCCCTCCCCGTCACCAATTCTACTGGTCAGATGTCCCTGGGATGCACCTGTCCTCCCCAGCCCCTCCGTTCCCATCGGAGTTCAGGCCTCATCATCTCCTGCCTGGACCATTAGCCTCTTAACTGGCCCCTCCGCTTCCAGGCTCCCTTCCATATATCCGGGTTCCACCCCGGGGGCCATTCTAAAAGGCAGATCAGGCCCATCCCAGTCTGGCCAGCGGCTCCACATTCACTCAGACTCACATCCTGGACCCATGGTCGGGCATTAGAGACCTGCCACGATTCAACATTCCACGGCCTTTCCAGCTTAGGTCCTCATCTCACACTCCCTCTCCTCTGAGCTCCCCCTGGGAGACTTACAGACACCCCGACGCTTGGCAAGGCCATAGGATGTTTTTGTTTGGTTTGGTTTGGTTTTTCTGAGACAGTCTCACTCTGTCACCCAGGCTGGAGTGCAGTGGCACGATCTTGGCTCACTGCAACCTCCGAAGGCCATAGGATGTTTGGGTCATTCCCTGGGGAGTCCTGTCAGGCCAGGAACGAGGGGACCCTGGGAACAAGGTGCTGAGTGGCATCAGGGTCTCTGCCTGCAGGCGGGGGATGTGTCTGGGTCGTGGTTGATGGGAAGAACCTGACCATAGATTCCCCATGCAGAGCTGACGATTAGCAATTAACTGGGAGGAATCTCAGGGGTGAGGTTAATTGGGGGACAGAGGGAGGGCAGCTAGGGTTCCAGGGACTTTGCCCTTGACCCAAGAGTATAAAGAGGAGGGTCTCAGTTCTCCTCAGGGTCCTGGAGGCTTCATTGAGCTGCTGAGCAGAAGCTGAAACACAGAATTCTAAGGTGAGCCCAGGACCCTCACATCCCAACCCCACCCCCAGCTCTGAGTAGGAAACAGCCCAGCACCCCAGCCCCTTCATCTGTGTCCTATCTGCGCCCACCCCCACCGCGCCCCATATAACATGTCAGTCCAGCCAATCGCGGTGGCTCCCACCTGTAATCCCAGCACTTTGGGAAGCCGAGTGGGCGGATCACCTGAGGTCGAGTTTGCACTAAAAATACAAAAAATTAGCCAGGTGTGGTGGCAGGCACCTGTAATCCCAGCTACTTGGGAGGCTGAGGCAGGAGAATCGCTTGAACCCACGAGGCAGAGGTTGCAGTGAGCCAAGATTGTGCCACTGCACTCCAGCCTGGGCGGTAAGAGTGAAACTCCATCTCAAAAAAAAAAAAAAAAAGGACTCCTGCTCCTTCAGGACTTGAATTCAACTCTTCACACCCCTACAACAGCCAAGGACGCTGGGACAATGCGGGGAGTGCTGAGGCAGATCAGGGCACTCCACCCCAATAGCCAAGACTCCTGGGGCAGTGCGGGGACAAGGGGGGGCTGAGGCAAGCCTGTCAGTGTTTGTTCATTGCCCCTTGAGGGGGTGGATGGGGAAAGGAATTCATTGTGAGGGGAACCCAGGAACTCGGGATCCGGCCCAGGGGATCTCCGTGTGTGCCCAGCTGACCCCATGAGAAGGCAGGTGTCTGCAGCTCCTCCTTGCTCTCCAGGTGGGCAAAACTGAAGCCCGGCCCAGCCCCAGCCCACACCTGCAGCCACTGCCAACACCACGTATTCCCTGGCCCCCTCCAGCCCCAAACAGGCTGGGCGTCCTCAGTTCTCAGTGTCTTTTATCAATGCTATATCCAAGCCTCTGGTTCGGAGCCTGGGCTAGAGCTCAATAATACTCATTGAATGAGTGAATGGTGAATGAATGATCACCTCACCACCACCACACACACCCCTCCGAGACTCACATGCAGGTGCCCAGCACAGATGTGCACATGTGAGTCTGCATGTGAGTCTCGGAGGGCTGTGGTGGTGATGATGGAGGGTGTGGTTTGCTGGGTGTGTGTTTGTGCGTGTGAGTCTCGGAGGGGTGTGTGTGTGTGGTGAGGATGGAGGGTGTGCTTTGCTAGGTGTGTATTTGGAATCATGCGCCATGGGGGTTTGTGCAGGTGAGGGTGTGTGGGCATGAGTGTCCCGGACACAGCTATTGTCATTCAGCGTTGCTGAGACCCACTGACCTGCAGACCTCATAGTGGGTGCCCAGGATGTTGTCCTACGGAGAGAGGCTGGGGTCCCCTGCTGTCTCCCCACTCCCAGTCCGTGGGGGGCATGTGATGCGAGGGACGGCCTTTGCCTACGTGCCCAGCCCTCAGGGTAAGTGCTGCTCCCACACCCTGGACCCTGGTTGCCCACGGTTGCCCACATCCCGGATGAGGCCACTTCCCCCGCCTGTTCCTCCCCGCCTCCCCACTTTGGGGCCCTGGGGCTCCTGACCAGGCTCCCTCCCTAGTCCTACACAGGATCCCGGGGACCTCTGCCTATGCCTTCCCCAGCCTGGGCCCTGTGGCCCTTGCTGAGCACACCTGCCCCTGTGGGGAGGTCCTGGAGCGCCATGAACCACTGCCTGCCAAGCTGGCCCTGGAGGAGGAGCAGAAGCCAGGTGGGCCTGGGCTGGGGGTGGCAGAGGCGGCAGCAGTCCCTGCCCTGGCCTCTGCCCACTATGCTCATGGCTTCCCCCATCCAGAGTCCAGGCTGGTCCCCAAGCTGCGCCAGGCTGGCGCCATGCTGCTCAAGGTGCCACTGATGCTCACCTTCCTCTACCTCTTCGTCTGCTCCCTGGACATGCTCAGCTCGGCCTTCCAGCTGGCTGGAGGTAGGGCCCGGGTGGAGGAGACCTGGGAGGGGTTCCTGAAGGGCCTTGGACAACGCTGGCTCATGCTCCCCAGGGAAGGTGGCTGGTGACATCTTCAAGGATAACGCCATCCTGTCCAACCCGGTGGCCGGGCTGGTGGTGGGGATCCTGGTGACCGTGCTGGTGCAGAGCTCCAGCACCTCCACATCCATCATCGTCAGCATGGTCTCCTCTGGCTGTGAGTTGGCCCACCAGGGTGGGGAAGAGCTTGGAGGGGCACCCCAGGAGCTGGGAAGGGTGGCAAATGGGGAGCGTGACCCCAGTAAGGCTGGCCTCCATTCAGCTTGACTCCTGTATCAGCCAGGGACATGAGAGGAGCCCAACTGTAGCTGTATGTGACCCAGATGATTTATGGCAAGGAACTGGCTTCCCCGATGGTAGTTTGTCTGGGCAAGTCAGGAATCCGTAGGCCAGGGCATTGGAAGGGCAGGCGGGAACTCTCAGGTGGGCGCCGACACTGCAGTCCAGACAGGGCAGCGTTTCTCCTTTCTCAGGGAAGCCTCAGTTCTGCTTGAGGCCTTTCATTCTATTGGATTAGGCTGACCCAGGTTACCAAGGATAATCTCCTTTTCTTAAAGTCAGCTGACTGTAGACGTGAATTGCATCTACAAAACACCTTACAGAACACCCAGGCTAGTGTTGGGTTGAATAACTGGGTACCACAGCCTAGCTAAGTTGACACATAAAACTAACCATCACTGGCCGGGCGCAGTGGCTCATGCCTGTAATCCCAGCACTTTGGGAGGCTGAGGGGGGCAGATCACGAGGTCAGTAGATCGAGACCACCCTGGCTAACACGGTGAAACCCTGTCTCTACTAAAAATACAAAAAAAAAAAACAACAAAAACCAAAAAGCATTAGCCAGGCGTGGTGGCAGGTGTCTGCAGTCCCAGCTACTCAGGAGGCTGAGGCAGGAGAATGGCATGAACCCAGGAGGCAGAGCTTGCAGTGAGCCGAGATCATGCCACTGCACTCCAGCCTGGGCGACAGAGCGAGACTCTGTCTCAAAACAAACAAACAAAAAAACTAACCATCACACTCTGGGGCATGTGTGCACACACAAGCACAAATCTCTATTTGCACATAGGACATGAGCCCACGAGCCCTCATAACGAAGGCCTCACACGCACACACGTTCACATCCATACACCATGTGCAGCACGTGTACATCTACTCGCATGGATGAATGCACACACCTGTAAACGCACAGCCCGTGCCCACATGCACCTGTGACGCCAACGTTAGGCAGACTCAGCAGCATGGCAGGAGCGGCCACTGGGGACTGGGACGTGGGTGGGGGGCCTGACAGGAGTTGTGGTGGTGCAGGAGCTGGGTGACCGTCAAATTCATTAGGACGTCTTCTCTTCTACCAGTGCTGGAGGTGAGCTCTGCCATCCCCATCATCATGGGCTCCAACATCGGCACCTCTGTCACCAACACCATCGTGGCCCTGATGCAGGCGGGGGACAGGACTGACTTCCGGCGGTGAGGGGGGCTGGGGGTTGGGGGCTCGTGCCTGGGGGAGGACAGCCCCAGATGCCAGGAACCCCAGGCGTGACTGTGCACTGGCTCGAGCCTGCCTTGCAATGTGGCCTCCCTGCCCAGGGCCTTCGCGGGGGCCACGGTGCATGACTGCTTTAACTGGCTGTCAGTGCTGGTCCTGCTGCCCCTGGAGGCTGCCACTGGCTACCTGCACCACATCACTCGACTTGTGGTGGCCTCCTTCAACATCCATGGTGGCCGTGATGCTCCTGACCTGCTCAAGATCATCACAGAGCCCTTCACGAAGCTCATCATCCAGGTGACAGCAGGGCCTGGCATGGGGTGAGGGTGGGGGTAACAAGGGACCCAGCCTCCTTCACTCCCCCTGCCCACATCTTGCCCACAGCTGGACGAGTCTGTGATAACCAGCATTGCCACTGGTGATGAGTCCCTGAGGAACCACAGTCTCATCCAGATCTGGTGCCACCCAGACTCCTTACAGGTGAGTCCCAGGCCTAACCCCAGGTAAGAGGACTCCCTCTTCAGACTCTTGGTTTCATTGTCTGTTCAAAATGCTCCAGATAGACCTTGAAGATCATTTAGCCAGGAGAGGGCAAATATGTGGCCCTTCTACTGTGCTTACAGTTAACATTGCTAATTCCTCCCAACTTCCCACATCGCCTTAGGCAGACATCACCAATCAATTAAAGTTGTTATGTAATTGATCTAGCCCAGTGGTTCTTGAAGTGTGGTCCCAGGCCAGCATCTTGTGTGCCGTGTGGGAACCTATTAGAGATGCAAATCACCCTGCCCTTCCCTAGACCTACTGAATCTGGAAACCCCTGGGAGCGGGGCCAATGGCCTATGCTTCAGCAGTTCCTCTAGGTGTGCTCAGTGCTCAAGTTTGAGAACCGCTGATCCAGCGCAACCCTTGGGTTTCACAGGTAGAGACACAGGTTCAGAGAGGCTAAGAAACGTGCCAGAGCTTATCCTACCATGTCAGGGCCTGAGCACCCTAGAGGGGTTAGTGACTCAGCTGGGCCATGTTTTGGGACCCAGGTAACGTGGGGAAGAGGCAGAGTGCTATAAGGATACCAAGGAAAGTAACAGGAAGGTGAGCTGCGTGGAGAACTCCTTGGAGATGTTAACAGCCGCTTGTGCTGGCATCGGGGGTTCCTTCTCCTGGAGACTGCCACAGGCGGGAGTCCCTTGTCCTTCTGCACTGTTTCTGCTGCTTCTAATACTGGGAAGATCTGTTTGAATCAAGTGGATGCTCATGGACCACCCATTATGCCAGGCTGATGAGGAAGCAGGCAATTAGCACACTTCCTTACTCAGCTGTGAAAAGGCAAATGCTTCATCCAAACCACAATGCACCATATTTGCTTCTCCCTGATGCTTGCATGTGAGACATAACTCCATTTACAATGAGATACGAGGAAATCCAAGCCACAGCACAGCACAGCACAGCACAAGCCCTTCCCCTTCCCCTTCCCCTTCCCCTTCCCCTTGCTGCTTCTTGTGACTGGACCTTTACCCTGGTGCGAACAGAAAACACTCATCTGACTCGCCCTGCGATGCTCCTTTGCATCTGAAGTTGCTCCAGCTCAGCCTCTGAGTGTTCAAAGCAGCCTTACATAAAAAAAAACCCCTGCGGGCAGCTTTTACGCTGACTTCATGACCTCTTTAATACATCAACCACTTTCTCACGAGCTCTCTGAGCACTCTTAGTGCTCTCTGACTCACCACAAGCCTCTCTACTTCATAGCAAAATCTGGAAGGGAGAGAAATCACACACTTTGATCTTCGCAAAAAGCAAGCCATGGAAGACAGCTCTGTTCCTCACTGCCCCTGAGCTCCCTGCCGGCCACCTACTGCAGCTTCCGGCAGATCTCAACCAGCAGCCTCCACGTCCTCACTTGAAGTCATCCTCACCCAGGTTCACTCTGGGGAGGCCGCCCTTGGGCCTTTCTCTACGGCTGCAGCTGACACTTGTCCAGCTGGTTTCTCTTCCTCACTCTACCAGGAAATGCTTTCCTTAAACGCTTTCTGCAGGGCAGGGTCTCATTTCCTCGGCTTGGAGAGTAGCTGGTGGGTGGGACCCAAGCTCTCACTTTCATCCCCTTTCTGGGACAGCGCCCCGAAGGAGTGTGACTCACACAGCAGTGGATGTGCTTGGTCTTGCAAAGTGTGAAGTGCGTCCTGGCTCTTCCTGCCCAAAGACGGGCCACAGAGTCTCCCCGTGCTCCCTTCCAACCTGTTCCCATTGACGCCAACTTTCACCATGCTGGACCTGAACCAGCCCGAAACAGTCTCCAGGGAAGCTATGCACCAGGGAGAGGAGGCAAGTCCAAGGCCTACCAGATGGGGAAAGCAGCAGCAGCGGCAGTTGAGTGATCAGACACTTGAGTCTCCCGGGACCCTGACACCGTCCTGGGAATCACCTTCTTATGTGGCCACACTGTGGACTGTCAACTATACCTGCCTGGATTAAACAAGCATCTTTTGAGGACTTGCAACCTGGGAGGCAGGGATTATCACGTCCCCATTTTACAGACGAGGAGCACTGAGCCCCAGAGAAGTGCAGTGGCTTGCCCAAGTCCATGTAATTGAGGTAGGATACAAATCCTGGTAGAATCCTGACTATCTCGTTGCCTCTCTCACTCACCGGTCTGACATTCTACTATGTATGTCTGCTTCCCATGCTGCCCATCAGGCCTGAAGGCCACCAGGTGACCATAGCCACGTGGAGACGACTCCAGAGATAGCGGGTGTTGCTCTAAGGAGAAGTTCTCCTTTTCGCCACCAGGTGGTGCTGCTGGCACAGTGCTCTCCCTCGGCTTCCAGAAGAACAAAGGCCCTAGAGCTCCCCTTCCTCTGAGGGGGAAACTGCTGCGCTGGCCCACATCCTGACAGTCTCCTGTGAGCTTAATCACCTCCTTCAGTCCCCAGAAGGGGCCTCTTTAATTTAGGGTGTCCCTATAGGCACTTAAATCCCAACTCCCTCTTCCAAAATGCTTCCAACTAGCCCCTGGGAAAAGGTGGGTAGCATTATGGACTTCATGCTGCAGAGGAGGAAACTGAGGCCCAGAGAGGCTAAGTGTTTGCTCTGGTGACACACAGCTGGGAACGGCTCAGCTGGGGTATGGGCCCAGGGCTGTCCACAGGCCCATTCTGTTCTTCCCACAGAGCCCACCACCCGCTTCAGGCCCCTCCAGCCTCTCCTACCCCACCCCAGGCCCAGGCAGGGATGGGCACATCTTGGGAAGATGCCCCCAGATCCTGGGCCTCCCAGCTCTTTTATCTAAGCTGGAGTTTCCATCTTCTCCCTCTGCCCCACAGGGAAGCCCCAGGGCCTGCTCCCTCCCGGCAGTTCACTCTCTGCCTGGCTTTGTCCCTCCTGCCAGCTTTACCTTCCTCTCTTGTACTTTAGGGTCTCTGGGCTCCCAGCCAGGGCCACACAGTCCCAGGCAAGAAGGTCAAGGTTCTAAAAACCCAGAGGGCTTGGCCCTGCTGCTGCCTCTGCCAGCCCTAAGTTGGGACCCCAGTAAAGTTCCCCATTCTCCTCCAGCCTTCGCAGGGTCCCACAGTCCTCCCCACAGAGACCACTGGGCCCAGCCCAGGTTAGGTCAGTGGGGCACACGTTGACCAGGCACCTACTCATTCAAGGGGTTGTCTGCTACCTCAGCATCCAGGCTGGGTACTCCCAGGAAGGTCCAGCAGGCTCCTCCCCAACAGGGCTAGGGTTCTCAGGTTCATCTGCAGGGGCCACTGGTCCTGACCTAGGAAGTCAGTCACACACACAGCCTCCCAACCATGTGATCCTGAACGGGCCCAGCGAGGGAGAGGGTCACTCCATATCAGAAGACAGTTTACCGAAGGCTCATGATGAGCCAAGCCCTGTGATGAGCGCTTTAAACACATTCCCCCTGTAACCTTTACAGCAGCTCCTCTATTATCCTGCGTTAGAGAAAACAGGCTCTGAGAGGTGGCATGGCTTACCCAGGGTGGTTGGTATAAGAAGCAGGATTTGAACTCAGATCTGCCTAACAGCAAACACCTGGCTCTCTCTCTCCCTTACCCTCGCAGCAGTTACCGTTGCTTTCCCAGCCTGGTTTTCTCATCTAGCCCATCGCAGCCTATTTTTTCCAGGCTTCTTGGCCTGCCATTCAGGCCCAGTCTTGATGGGTCCCCAAGGCCCTGATGTGGCGAACTGGGAGCACAGAAGAGCACATTGCCCCATTCAAGGGAGCACATCCCGCTAAAATAAACCCGGATGTTACACCAGACGCCATAAAAGTTCTTACCTTGGCCAGCATGGTGGCTCACACCTGTAATCCCAGCACCTTGGGAGGCCGAGGTGGGTGAATCACCTGAGGTCAGGAGTTCGAGATCAGCCTGGCCAACATGGCGAAACCCCATCTCTACTAAAAATACAAAAAATTAGCTGGGCGTGGTGGCAGGGGCCTGTAACCCTAGCTACTCGGGAGGTGGAAGCGGGAGAATCGCTTGAACCCAGGAGGCGGAGGTTGCAGTGAGCCGAGATTGTGCCACTGGACTCCAGACTGGGCAACAGAACAAAAACTCTGTCTCAAAATAAATAAATAAATAAATAAATAACTTCTTAACCCAACAAGGCTACAAATGAGTTGTCCACAGGCCAGACTGGCCTGCTTCTGCTGACCTTCATTGAATTGTAAAAGATAACTCAAAGTGGTCGCCAATATTTACAGATTGGGAGTTTGTTGCTTTCGGGAGTTTTTCATTTTTTGAGATAAGGTCTTGCTCTGTCACTCAAGCTGGAGTGCAGGGGCATGATCATAGCTCACTCCAGCCTCGACCACCTGGGCTCAAGAGATCCTCCTGCTCCAACCTCCTGAGTAGCTAGGACTACAGGTGTACACCACCATGCCCTAATTTTCTTTGTGGAGACAAGGTCTTGCTATGTTGCCCAAGATGGCCTCCCACTCCTGGCCTCGAGTAATCCTCTCACCTCAGCCCCCCAAAGTGCTGGGATTACAGCCATGAGCCACACTGCACCTGGCCCAGATTGGGAGATTTCATCTAGAACTTCAGAGTTGTGGCTTTTCTCATAGAAATTGGGCAATTTAGCCACACTAGGCTGCGTCCCTGGATGGTGACAGTGATCAGGAGCTGAGTAGCTACTGCTGACTCTACAGGCCCAGCAGAAACTCTCCCCACCTCTTCCACACACAGCCCGAGCTGCTCACTTAGGTTACCGGCCCGGACCTGTGGCCTTCTGAATTGTAGGGCCTCCCTGGGGAGCCCCTTTGTCTCACTGACAGTAGGTGGGCAGAAGAGACGTGTGGGCTGGGCCCTCTGTCCCCTTACACCCCCTGAGGATAAGGAATTGATCTAGAGGAGAATGGAGCTTGAGCTAAGGGTGTCTTGGAGGAGAGGAAGGAGCCAGGATGCTGGGGAAGGGGCACCGAGAAAGGGATGGGTAATAAAAGATGAGGAAGGGGGAGTTTTCAGAAAAAGAGGAACATGTTCAGCAGCACCCAATGCCACTGAGAGAGGGAGGAAAAGAAAGACAGGAAGCCACTGGATGTGGCCCCAGGGAGAGCTGGGCCAGTGGAGTGACAGGGCAGAACACACAGAGGACCAGATTCTTGTGTGGCAGGCACTTTCATCCACATGTCCTCAGTGGAAGAGACAGGCTCAGAGAGGGCAAGAGACCCATCCATGGTCACAGAGCAGGAGGCCCATCTCCATCTTCCCCATCTCTCCCTAACTCCCATCTCAGCCCCAACCTCAGGCTGTGTTTTCCTAATTCACTAAGTCACCCTCCTCCTGATCTAGGCTCCCACCTCCATGTCCAGAGCAGAGGCCAACTCCAGCCAGACCCTTGGAAATGCCACCATGGAGAAATGTAAGTGCCTGCAACATGGGAGGTGTCCTGCATGGCAGGGGCAGAGCCTAGCAGTGGCAGGGCAATCCCACACAGCCACTATTGTGTCCAGCCCCAGGAAGCATGGCTGTCAACTAGCCCAGCTCCTGAGCCTGGGTCAAGCTCCGGTGTTGAGGCTCAAGGAGCCTGAGATGGGGCCTTAGGATCAGAGCCCAACTGGGTGGCAAAGGTGGGGACCTGGGAGCCAGGTGTGGGGTCAGCTGTCAGGAGCTCCACCCCCTGCAGGCAACCACATCTTTGTGGACACTGGCCTACCGGACCTGGCTGTGGGGCTCATCCTGCTGGCAGGATCCCTGGTGCTGCTGTGCACCTGCCTCATCCTCCTAGTCAAGATGCTCAACTCCCTGCTCAAGGGCCAAGTGGCCAAGGTCATCCAGAAGGTCATCAATACGGGTGAGCTGCGAGCAGTTGACTGGGCAGGGCCACAGGATGGGCCTTTCCAGATCCTGCTAAGTCCTGTGACTGCCTTGATCTGGGTAAACCCTACCATCTCTGAGACTCAGTTTCCCGATGTGAACAAAGAAGGTGGTTTCTGAGGCCACTGAGGTACTGACAGCTGGAGACCTGTGGCCGCCTCTGGCTGTGGTTCCATTTTAGCAGGTGGAGATGCTCAAGGACCATTGTTTGATTCAATCAACAAAGAGTACTTAAGCCCCCATTGTGTGACAAGGGAGGTGTAGTGCCAGGTATACAGAGGTGAGACAAACAGAGTTGGGTCCTGCCCTGAGGGGCTCACAGCCCAGCAGGGGGAGGAAAGCAATGAAAAATACATGAGATTGGCAAATGGCTCACACCTGTAAATCCAGCACTTTGGGAGGCTGAAGCAGCAGGATCACTTGAGCCCAGGAGTCCAAGACCAGCTTGGGCAACATAGTGAGACTTTGTCTTTTTTTTTTTTTTTTTTTTTTTTGAGACAATTTCACTCTTATTGCCCAGGCTGGAGTGCAATGGCATGATCTTGGCTCACTGCAACCTCCACCTCCAGGGTTCAAGTGATTCTCCTGCCTCAGCCTCTCGAGTAGCTAGGATTACAGGTGCCGGCCACAACACCCGGCTAATTTTTTGTATTTTTAGTCGAGACAGGGTTTCACCATGTTGGCCAGGCTGGTCTCAAACTCCTCACCTGATGATCCACCCGCCTCAGCCTCTCAAAGTGCTAGGATTACAGGCATGAGCCACCGTGCCCGGCCGAGACTTTTGTCTTTACAAAAAATTTTAAAATTAGCTGGGCATGGTGGTGTGCTCCTATAGTCCCAGGTACCCAGGAGGCTGAGTGGGAGAATCGCTTGAGCCTAGCAGGTTGAGGCCGCAGTGAGCTATGATGGCACCACTGCACTCCGACCTGTGCAACAGAGTTCAAAAATAAATAAATAAATAAAAATAGAAAAAGAAAATGAATTAGGAATAGGAAGGAAAATGAATTAGGGGGATAAATTCAGAGAGAGGTACCTGCCAAGGACATAGCAAAAATGGCAGTGCAGTAGGGTGTGGAAGAGACGGTTTCCAATGCGCTGTTTGAGGCCGCTCAGTGCAGTTGGCATTTGAACAGACACAAGTAGCCACGATGCGGATGAAGAGCACTCTGGGTGGAGGAACAGTATGTGCAAAGGCTCAGAGGCAGGAACCAGCATGGCAGGTCCGTGGCACAGAAGGGTGGCCAGTAGCTGGCAGGAGCAGGGTAAGGGATTGCCTGAGTGGGGTCAGTGAGGTGGCACGGAAGGGGCCAGAGCATGGGGTCTCCAGGCTCTGCTCAGAGCCTGGACTTTATTGAGGGTAACATGAGCACTCAGAAGACTTGGGGTAAGGGAGCAACACCATTTGATTTTCATTTTCCCTTTTTTGTTTTTTGAGACAGAGTCTTACTTTGTCACCCAGGCTGGAGTGCAGTGGTGCAATCTCAGCTCACTGCAACCTCTGCCTCCCAGGTTCAAGTGATCCTCCCACTTCAGTCTCCTGAGTAAACTGGGATTACAGGTGTGCACCGCCACACTCAGCTAATTTTTGTATTTTTAGTAGAGACAGGGTTTTGCCATGTTGGCTAGGCTGGTCTTGAATACCTGGCCTCAAGTGAACCTCTCGCCTTGGCCTCCCAAAGTGCTGGGATTACAAGTGTGAGCCACCATGCCCAGCCTCTTCCTATTAACCATAAATTTTTTTTATAGAGATGGGCTCTCACTATGTTGGTCAGGCTAGTCTCGAACTCCCAGCCTCAGGTGATCCACCCAACTCAGCATCCCAAAGTGCTGGGATTATAGGTGTGAGCCACCTTGCCCAGCCTTGGTTTTCATTTTAAACTTCATGCACTGGGAGGGGCTGCATGACAAGTACTAGAATAAGGGGTATCATGGGGCTGTGGGAGCTCAGAGAAGGGAGAAAAAGTCTGCTCCAGAGCAGGGGGTCAGGGAAGGCTTTCCAGAGGAAGTGACATCCATGCTGAGTCTGAGGATGAATATTCAGATGCTGAGTAGGATATTCCCAGCAGAGGGAACAGCCCCATCAAAGGCACAGTTGCCTGACGGAGCCAGGCTGAGAAAGGCCTTCAATCCAGGAGCAAAGAGGCCAAGTGGAAGCAACTGCAGTGGGAGCAAACCCCCATGGAGGTCGTCTCTCCCAGTGCCCCCGCGGAGATCCGCTCTCCCAGTGCCCCCGCGGAGGTCCGCTCTCCCAGTGCCCCCGCGGAGGTCCTCTCTCCCAGTGCCCCCGCGGAGGTCCTCTCTCCCAGTGCCCCCGCGGAGGTCCGCTCTCCCAGTGCCCCCGCGGAGGTCCTCTCTCCCAGTGCCCCCGCGGAGGTCCTCTCTCCCAGTGCCCCCGCGGAGATCCGCTCTCCCAGTGCCCCCGCGGAGGTCCGCTCTCCCAGTGCCCCCGCGGAGGTCTGCTCTCCCAATGTCCCCGCTCTGACCCCAGCCTGCTGGGATGCGGTTTCCTTGCAGACTTCCCTGCCCCCTTCACCTGGGTCACAGGCTACTTTGCCATGGTGGTGGGCGCCAGCATGACCTTCGTGGTCCAGAGCAGTTCTGTGTTCACCTCGGCCATCACCCCACTCATCGGTGAGTGCCCATGTAGAGGTGGAGTGGGGTGGGCCAGGGCTGGCAGGGAAAGGGCCGAAGGAGACGCTGGGGGTCCCACTTCCTCTCCCTCTGTCCCCAGGTCTTGGTGTGATCAGCATTGAGAGGGCCTACCCGCTCACACTGGGTTCCAACATCGGCACCACCACCACGGCCATCCTGGCTGCCCTGGCCAGCCCCAGGGAGAAGCTGTCCAGCGCTTTCCAGGTGCGCTGGGAGTGTAGCCTCGCCTGGGGCAGGATGGAGCTGCCTCTGGGGTGTGGGGCCTCACAAAGGTGTGACAACATGGAACAAATATTTTGACTGCCTACTAAGGGCCACCTAATATGCTCAATGAAACCATTATGGGCAAAGTAGACCCAATACCACCCTCGAGACCTTAGCATCTAATAGGGAGACACTGCTCATAATTACACCAATAAATAGCAGTGAGTCGGATTTGCACCATAAGGAAGAGGAAGAGGAAGAGGCACTACAAAAGAGGGCCTGGAGCAGTTTGGGGAATCCATTGCGGGGGTCAAGGCCGCAAATGGCAAAGGGGAATTATTCTAGGAGCAAAGGAGTAACTGACAAGCCAAGGCACTGACTGAATGAGGGTCCAGAAACTGACATCAATCCTTTAGCTGCTGGATTTTGGCAGTATCTGCTGGGGGATTCCTGTGCGAGGGGTCAGTGGGGAAAATGTGGGGAGCTCAGGGCAGTAGTTATTTACCAACTGGTCTAGAAGTATTTCAATATTTGCATAGCCAGCATAGCCACCTCGGGGTGATCTCGGGGCAGGGGGCACATCACCCCTAAGTGGAAACTTTCCTGCTGCCCAGACCAGATCGGGGTTCCTATCATCTACCCCTGCTGGCCTGACACAGGACCTGGGAGCCAGTGCCCATCTCAGCCCCTCTGCCTCATCCCCTGCAGATTGCCCTCTGTCACTTCTTCTTCAACATCTCGGGTATCCTTCTGTGGTACCCGGTGCCCTGCACACGCCTGCCCATCCGCATGGCCAAGGCGCTGGGGAAACGCACGGCCAAGTACCGCTGGTTTGCCGTCCTCTATCTCCTTGTCTGCTTCCTGCTGCTGCCCTCACTGGTGTTTGGCATCTCCATGGCAGGCTGGCAGGTCATGGTAGGTGTGGGCACGCCCTTCGGGGCCCTGCTGGCCTTCGTGGTGCTCATCAATGTCCTGCAGAGTCGGAGTCCCGGGCACCTGCCCAAGTGGTTACAGACATGGGACTTCCTGCCTCGCTGGATGCACTCCCTGAAGCCCCTGGACCACCTCATCACCCGCGCCACCCTATGCTGTGCCAGGCCTGAGCCCCGCTCACCCCCGCTGCCCCCCAGGGTCTTCCTGGAGGAGCTACCCCCTGCCACACCCTCCCCCCGTCTTGCACTGCCTGCTCACCACAATGCCACCCGCCTCTAGGCTGTGGGCCCAGACTACAGCCTGGAATGGGGAAGGCCTGGGGTGGAAAGGCAGGGGAGGGAGGGTGTGTGTAGGTATGTGCATGTGCCTGTGCCACCCTGGGTGCCAGTCTCTCCTTCTGTAGCTCCGCAAAGCTCTGGGCTTGTGTGAGAGTGTCGGTGTGTGTGCATGTGTGGGGGTGAGTCTGCATGTGCACCTGTCATGTGTAGAAGCTTGTATTTGTGTACAGGTGTGCCAGCCCATGCAGGTGTACACAGACACACCTGTGGGAGGCTGTGTGCAGGCTGCAGGATATCTGGGTATGATTTCAGGTCCTCTGCACGTGTACACATGACTAGGATAGGCAGGAGTAAGGGTGGGTCTGGGTATATGACTGTGCAGCTGTTTGTGCATAGATGTTGGTGCCTGCGTTACTGAATTTGCACACCTCCTTGCCACCTTCCTTCCTCCAAGATACCATCTCCTCATCCTAACCCAGGTCTTCGGCACCACCACAATTAATTCCCTTCCCAACACTTGCCTGATGGAAAAAAAACAAAGGAATTAAAACTCTCCTCAGGCATTCGGAAGTCTTTTTGCTCTCCATCAATGGCAAAGGGAAGACCAAGCCAGGGGGTTCAGCAGCACCATCTCCCCTCAAAGACTGGCTGCAAGAGCAGCCTGCCCTGCCCAGGCCAGGTGCAGTTCCAGAGAAGCCAGCCCTGCAGGCTCACCCCAACCATCTGCCTGGCCCTACCTTAGTGAGTCCAAACCACAATTCAAACTCCCTGGAAGCCCCTCCTAGGCCTGGGGCCACCCCCAAGGCAAGTGTAAGGAGGATTCTGCACCCCCACCCCCTGACCCCCACCTGGCTGAACTTCCTCTGGTCTCCCTCTGCCCTCTAAATTCACCCACCTCAGCCACACATCACTCCTTCCTGCTGGGATAAGATCAGGGCTCCAGAATAAGTGACAGGTGGGGTCTGCCATCAGGGCCGCTGGGGGAGGGGACGGGAAGGGTGGGGGTGGGCAAGAGAGGCCATGCCCTGGGCCCCAGCACATGGAGGGCAGGGACCAGACACCCTCCCTCCCACTTTTGTCCACTATCTTTGGGCAATAAACCAGGCCTCAAACTTACCCAAGCTTTTCAATTCCCCCTCCTCCATAGGTCACCCTGAAACTGAGGCCTGCAGAGTGAGACTCCCGGGTAGGGATGCCAGAGTTCCTCCCTCTAGTCCAGGGACTCCTGCGGGGCCTTTTCGAAGGCCTGGGGAAGGCAGGATGTAAGGTCTCAAACCCAATTGCGATGGTCTTGGACATGAGCCCTCTCAGTAGGCTCCCCTTGGAGGAATGTGGGCAGAGATGCAGAGGCCTGTGAGCCCCAGAACTGCTTTACAAGCCACCAAGCCCATCCTGTCACCCACTCACAACTTGCTAGTGCTTGAGGTATGAGTGGAGGGGGGAGGAGCAAATTGGCCTCCAGCCTGACACCCTGATGGGGAGAGGTGTTCGCGGGATGGGGAGGGGGCTCCCTTTACTTGTCCTGCCTAATGTGTGGGAATATCTCTGAGAAAGGACGCTAAGGCTGAAACAGACTTTGAGAAGCCCCCACCCTTGGACTCTTCCTCAGCTGCGGAGTCCCTAGGACCCTGGGAACGCGCCAAGGAGCAGCAGTCAGGCCAGGAGCCTCTGCAAGGCGTCCATGGGAGAGCAGGGTGTAGGGCACAGGGGCCTGGCAGCCTCTAGACTCAAAATCCCGGCTCCACCAGGTAACCGTCTTGCAAAGACCAGTTTCCTTATTTACAACTCCCCCCACCGCGCAAGTGGAGGAGGAGCCAGCCGCGCCCAGGTCACAGTTTATTTGGCCCGCGCTACCAGTGGGCGGCCTGGCTGGCCGGCTAGGCGCCCTGCATGCGCAGCCCGCGTATGAGTTCGTGCACCGTCTTGTTGAGGATGCCCCCATGTACGCCGCGTCGGCCCATTAGCACCAGGAGCGCGCGCGGCGCACGGCCCACGCACACGGCGCGCGCGTCCAGCCCCTTGGTGCGTGCGTCCAGCACGCCGTCACCCTCGGCCAGCAGGTGGTCGCGGATGACGCAGCAGCGGCGGCCCCCCACGCTCAGGCCCGCCTGCAGGAAGGTGTGCCTGTCCGGCCCCGTGAGCACGCCCACCTCCTGCGGCGAGATGGCCGCCAGCAGGCCCCCGGGCCGCGAAGCCCACACGCAGCTGTTGTCCGCATGGCCCACGATGGCCACGTCGTCGATGCGCTGGTCCCGCAGCACTGCACTGATGTAGACCTTCCAGTCGCCCATCGCGCTCCGAGTGCGCCCAGCCGCCTCGCACCTCTCGGGGAAATATAGAGGCGCCACGCGGGGAAGGCCTGCGGCGCTGTGAGGCAGGCTGGGCGGGGCTGTGACGTCACACAAGGCGCCGTCCCGGAGCGACCACCCAGGCTGGGGCACGTGGGGCGTGGGCGTTTAGTGCTGTCGCAGTTCTAAGGTTATCCTGTAGGATGGGTTTGGCAGAGCGCAGCGGCTCACTCCTGTAATCCCAGCGCTTTGGGAGGCCGAGGCGGGCGGATCGCTTGAACTCAGTAGCGAGATTATAGTAAACTATTATAGGATCGTGTCGCTGCACGCCAGCCTGAGCCACAGAGCGAGGCCCCGTCTCTAAAAAAGCAAAAACAAATTTTAATTAAAAAAAATTTTTTTGAGATGAGGTCTCACTATGTTGCCCAGGCGGGTCAGGAAGTCTTGAGCTCAAACAATCCTCCCGCCTCAGCCTCTCAAAGTGACGAGATTACAGGCGTGAACCACCGCATCTGGCCAATCTATTTTTAATTTTAAAAAGCTGGTTTTGTGAAAAAAGGATGTTGTGTCTGGACAGCCAGACCTTCACTTGTAAGGGAACCAACCATTCAACCCCCAGATTGTGGTTCTTAAGCATGAGAGAACATCAGAATCCCCCGCAAGGCTGTTAAACAGATTGCTGGGCCCCACCCCAGACTTTCTGTTCAGCAGTATAAAGTGTAGCCCGAGAATTTGTTATGTGTAACAAGTTCCCTGGTGATGGTACTGCTAGCCAAGGGACTCTCAGACCCACTACACTAGTGCGTGTTGGGGTGGGGACAACGATATGTCACCCAGCCCTTAGGGTCCACGCCACAGTCAATGCTCTTTTTTTCTATTTTCTTTTTTCTTTTCTTTCTGTCTCTCTCTTTCCCTCCCTCTGTTCCTTCCTTCCTTCCTTCCTGCCGGTTCAAGTGATTCTCCTGCCTCAGCCTCCTGAGTAGCTGGGACTACAGGCGCACGCCGCCGTGCCCGGCTAATTTCTTGTATTTTAGTAGAGACGGGGTTTCATCGTGTTGCCCAGGCTGGTTTCGAACTCCTGAGCAATCCACCTGCCTTGGCCTCTTAAAGTGCTAGGATTACAGGCGTGAGCCACCGCGCCCGGCCAATGCTAAGTATTTCTAACCACGATTCTCAACCTTGGCTGTACATGGAATTATCTGGGGAGTTTTACAAATATACCACTACCCATGCCCCATCCCTAGACATACTGATTTAATTGGTCTGAGGTGGAACTTGGGCATAGATTGGCTCAAAACGCTCCCCAAGTGATCTTAATGTATGGTCTGAGAACTACTGCTCTGTAAACAAAATGTTAGTTTCTCATAAGGAATAACATGCAGCTTCTCCTTGCACAGGGCTTGGTATACAGTATCCTAGGCTCAGTAAACATTAGCTGGGCTGGCATCTAGATTTTGCACGTTAAGATCTCATAGACCTTGTTCTCTGAGAGCTGTGGAGAAGCTGTGAATCGCTTTTCTGTCTTGGCATTTCCCGGCGGGACCCATGAAGAAAAGAGCTTTCCTTCTCAGCATTTTCAAAGCACTTTATTGAGTTCCTGCGCCATCCTGGCGCGGAGCTGGCCGCACTGGGGGAATGGGACACAATCTTGCCTTCCATGCCCCAGCCACTCTCTCACTGCGGAATCACCAAGGAGGGAAAGATGAGTCCCTGAGCAATCAGGAAACGGTGTGCTCCCGGATCCAGGCCAGGTAGTAGGCCACATCGGTGTAGACGCCTGGCTTGTTGCGGTCACCACAGCCCGATCCCCAGCTGATGATGCCTTGCAGGGTGAGCCGGCGCTCTGCAGCTTGGTCCTCACACACCAGCGGGCCTCCGGAATCACCCTGGGTCGGAAACACGCAGCTCAGCGCTGTGGACCTGAGATTTGTGCCTGACGGCCTCGGGGAAGGGCGCCAACCGGGCTAAGAGCTCACCTGGCACGCATCGGTGCCGCCCTCGAGGAACCCTGCGCAGAGCATGCCGGGGAGGATGGAGGATCCGTGCACGTCCGGGGCTGAGCAGCGCTCCAGGGAGAGGAACGGTACCTGCGCCTCCTGCAGGAAGCTGGCATATTCCTCCGCCCCTGCGAACACAGAGCGCCTTCTTCACACCCCATCTGACAACGCTTGCCGCCCGGACGATGGACAAAGCTGCTCCAGGCGCTTGTAAACCCACTCATGCCCTTCCTCTCTCGCAGCAAGCCCGAAGGGGAGGAGGTGCCATTAATTCAATTTCATAGGCAAGGAGGCTGAGGTCCAGAGAAAAGCCAGGATTTGAATGGGCGGAGCGGAAACAGAAACCCCTCCCCCACCACCCATCCAGAGTCGCAGAACCTGGCTCCCACACTAGCCCGGAGCGCGGGGCCAGCGTCCTAGTTGGCCTTTGCAGCCCGGCGCCCAGAGGGAACCAAGAGCAAGTTCGATTCTCCCTGTATCCCCAGGAGATTTGGGGATCCCAGCAGTGAATCCCAGGCCCTGGGATTCTACCTGGGATTCACCTACACATTCTCACAACCCATCAGGTCAGCGCCACCCATTCTGTAGGCACCCGGAACGATACCAAAGTCGCGGGCTTCTTCCGCCTAACCCAGTGATCAAAGGTCTCCTCCCCTACCCCTGCCCCTAGCAGTTGTGCCTACCCTCGAACTGGTGGCCCCAGCCGGCCACCTGGCAGAGCGTGGTCTCGGAGGGTCGCGCGGCGCCGCTTGGCAGGCACACCGGCTGAACGTAAGGCGACAGGAGCGCGCAGCTGCCGTCCGCATCCTCCTGAAGGCGCAACAGAGCTAACCCGGGCGGAGAGGAGCGTGAGGCGGGGACGCCGGGGCCCCAAGCTCTCTTCCCGTCCCCGCGGGGCGCCCCCACGCACCCAGGTCGTGCTGGTAGCTGACGGGCGAGAAGGCCTCGTGCAAGCGGTAGGAGCGCACGGCCAACGTCTGGCACGGCTCACAGCTGTGGTTACGGCGTTCCTGGCCGAGCACCACCGTCAGATCCTCGGGTGCGGGCCTGCGGGGGGGGTAGGGGAGAGGCAGCGCTCTCAGACCTGGCCACAAGCGTTCTGGGGAAGCCCCCTGCTCCCGAACCCCAATCCCGTGTTCCAGCTTCCTCCCCGGGAGCTCCGGAGGGGCGTGGAAAGAAGGGTGGGGCGGGAGAAGGTAGGGCACGGGTTCGGGTGCAGCGTGGAAGCTGCGCTGGGAGACGGAGGAGCCGCGGCCCCTGGGGCGGCTCTGGGCGGGCGGGTACTCGCCGGTCCTGCAGGCAGTGAGCGGCCGTCAGCACCCAGCAGGGGGCGATGAGGCTGCCGGCGCAGAAACTGTGGCCCCAGTACAGCGCGGCGATGTAGGGGTGCGCCCCGCGTAGCGCCACCAGCCCGCCAACGACGCGGGTCATCGAAGACAGACTCTTGCGGAGCCGCTGCCCGCAGCTCAGTGGGCCGTTCCTGGTCAGGGAAGGCGGCTGCTCCCGCTTCGCCGGCAAGGCTGTGGAGGAGCAGGGGCTGAGGACGGAGAGCCCGCGGCCGGCTGGCCGGAATCTAGCTCGCCCGGCGCCCTCTCGGCTCCTCCTTCCCCCCCCCACTTCCTAACCTCCCGGGGTCTGGGACTGAGGCGGGGTCCGGGTCGTGGGCTGAGGCTTCGGCGGTGCCGGCTGCGCGGGCATGAGTGGGACATGAAGCCTAGGGGACACCGGGGTCGGAGGCGCCGCCTGGGTTGGGGTCTGGCACTGTGCCAGGTCGCAGTACTCCCAGCTCAGCCGGTCGCGGTTCAGCACGAAGCACCACGGGCGGATGTCGTTGTCCGGGTTCCTGTAGCCACACGACGGGGCGCCGTTAGAGCGCCGGGAGCCCGGAGCCCTGGGGCGGAGGGGTCACCCAGCCCCACGCGGCGCACCGGCAGAAGGCGTGGCCGCCCAGTCCCCAGTTCCGCGCTTGCTCGGCAGTCACGTTCCGGTAGGTGGCCTCCGAGGCCCACGGCTGACAGGGCGCACCCGAGAGCGTGGTCCTGGCCAGGCCGCGGTAGCTGAGCCCGCGGCCATCATAGCAGCTTGCCTTGGTGTCTGAGGAGAAAGGGGGCTCCCTGGGCAGCCAAGGCTGGGCTCTCCTGCCTCCCTCTCATCTGCTTTCCGCACTCTCCCTCCTCCTTCCTGGCAAGCCCGTCCCACCTGGGGGCTGGCCTTCTGCTTGCCCCAGACCCTCACTCACCCACGTCGCAGAAGGCTCCGGTGTAGCCCACCGGGCAGTGGCACAGGCGGTGGCCCTCCACCTCTAGGCAGCGACCCCCATGGAGGCACGGGTTGGTGCGGCAGGCTTGGGGAGGGAACGCAGTGAGCCACCCCTGGGCCTAAAGACCCCCCCAGAGAGCTCTCCTTCCTGGCACACCACCCGGCCTCCTGCCAGCCTGTCTTCCTGACGCTCCTCCCTGGCCCGTTCCCAACCATCTGCTCACCCTGGCTGGCCAGCCGCTGGCAGTGGGCATCAGGACCCTTGCACTGGCATCTGGCCACAGCTGCTTGCTCAGTTCTATACCATATCTCATTCTTGTGGAAAAACCGGAGAAGCTGAGGCTCAAAGCACTTCTCTGGGGACAAAGAGGGATAGTGGTCTCAGGAGAGTCTAGGACCATGCCAAGTCTCCGAGTATCCAGCAACCTATTCTGTAGGCCCAGGGTTGCCCCTGTCCCCCAGCACCCCGCCCAGGTCCTCCACATCTCCTCACCTTTCTGGCAGTGGTTTCCAGTGAGGTGTTGTGGACAGAGACAGTGGGGGCCGCTTGGCATGTTCACACAGGTCCCTCCTTTCTGGCAGGGGCTGTGTTTGCTGCAGTGGTCTGAGAGATGGACATGGTGGAAGGAAGAGCAGGGAGCTGAGTCACACAGCTGGGGGCCAAGGCCCTTCTTGAACCTACTTGCCTTGTGACCTTGCTACTCCAAGTTTCCAAGCTTGGTTTACCCACCTGCAAAATGGGACCACTCCTTCCCAGAACTCTCCCTCTGGACTTCCAAAGGGTATTGTGGAGGGAGAGAAGGGGCTGGGTCCAGAATCCCAGGTGTGTGGGGTCTGGTGATACCAGGAGAGTAATGAGGCGGGAGGAGAGAGCCCCAGGCCACCCCAGAGGCTGTGTGTAGCACCTTTCACTTTCTTGGGCTCCAAACAGTATCCCCATCGCTGGTCCTGATCAAAGTTGGGGGTGGTAGCACACCTGTAGAAAGAGACAAGGCTTCCCTGCTCTACCCAGGGGCCTGGCCCACCCTGCCCTATCACAGTCCCCTCTCTCCAAGCAGAGTTCCTTGGACAGAAGGACAGGCAGGGTACATGTCTCCCAGGCCCCTGCTCCAACTCCTCTGCGTAGTCTTACCAGGGCTGAGGGCCTGGCCGGCCCTTGTGGGTACATTTGTGGTACAGCTGCCGGTGGTACTGGAAGGGGAAGTGGCAGGGCTCCCCGGTGACAGTGAGAACTGCAGGGACAACACACTCTCTGAGGACTTCCCCTGTACTCAACTGCTCAGGCACTGTCCCTCAGGGTCTGGTCAGGAAAAGGACAGACCCTCAAAAAGGTCGCTGTGCATTGAAAACACTTTCTGCTCTAAAAGTTGGGTTCAGGGCCGGGCGCGGTGGCTCAAGCCTGTAATCCCAGCACTTTGGGAGGCCAAGGCGGGCAGATCACGAGGTCAGGAGATCAAGACCATCCTGGCTAATACAGTGAAACCCCCTCTCTACTAAAAATACAAAAAAATTAGCTGGGGGTGGTGGCAGGTGCCTGTAGTCCCAGCTACTCGGGAGGCCGAGGCAGGAGAATGGTGTGAACCCGGGAGGCGGAGCTTGCAGTGAGCCGAGATCGCGCCACTGCACTCCAGCCTGGGTGACAGAGTGAGACTCCATCTTAAAGAAAAAAAAAAAAACTTGGGTTCAGGAGTCAGATAGCTGGAGTAGACTCCTGACTCCACAACCTGCTAGCTGTGTGACCTTGGGTAAGTCTTCAGTCCCAAGGCCAGGAAGAGCACTTGCCACAAAGTAGGCACTTAATAATACTTGTTGAATGTTGAAGTCACTGTTAACCACTCTGATCTGAGCCTTGGTTTCCTTATCTGTAAAACGGCAGTAATAATAGTACAGTTGATCCTCATTCTTCTCTGGTTCTACATTGAGAATGTGCCTACTTGCTGAATTTTATTTGTAACTCCCAAGTCAATACTTGAAATGTTTTCATGGCCATTTGTGGGCATGCACAGAGCAGTGAAAAATTTGCACATTCCCAGTTAAGGTTCAACAAGGCGTCACGCTGCTGCTGCTTGTTTCAGCTCTCCTATTGAATGAGTGTCCTTCTCAGTCTACTTAGTGCAACGTTTTTCACACTTTGTGCTTTTGCTGGGGATTTGGCTTTTGGAAATGGCCTCTGAGCCTCCTGCTGAAGAGCTGTGTAGTTCCTAAGCACAAGAAGGCTACCTTAGGGAGAAAGCGTGTGTTAGACACTTGATTCAGGTGTGTGCTATAGTGCCATCAGCTTAGCATTGATGAATCAGCAACACATATACTAAATAAAATGTCTTTAAACAGAATCATACATAAAACCAGATTATATGCTGTTGGTTGATGAAAATGTTGTGACCAGAGGCTCACAGGAACCTAATACTGTTTGCTAGTTCAATGTTCACTGTGATTTTATAGAACATAACCATCGCGAATAATGAGAATTGCCTGTGTCTTCTTCAGAGGAATTGTCGTGGGGCTTCATGAGATAATGCCATGAAATGCTGAGCAGTGTCTGGCACAAAGTACCTGCTCAATAAGCTTTTGCCACTATTTTGTTCAAGGCAAAGTGCACTTGCCAAGGACCAAACCAGAACTAGGACAGTAAATGGAAATGGATCTGAGATGGACCTTTAAGATGCAAATGGGGGCCAGGCGCGGTGGCTCACGCCTGTAATCCCAGCACTTTGGGAGGCTAAGGTGGGCGGACCACCTGAGGGCAGGAGTTCGAGACCAGCCTGGCCAACATGGTGAAACCCTGTCTCTACTAAAAAATACAAAAATTAGCTGAGCATGAAGTTGTGTGCCTGTAATCCCAGCAACTCGGGAGGCTGAGGCAGAGAATCGCTTGAACCCAGGAGGCGGAGGTTGCAATGAGCCAAGATCGCGCCATTGCACTCTAGCCTAGGGGACAGAGCGAGACTCCATCTCAAAAAAAAAAAAAGATGCAGATGGGATGGACGGACAGAGAGGAGGGGGACCTTAGGCAGGGGATTAGGCAAGGATAGGGCACCAAGTTTGGGTAAGGCAAGAGAGAGGAGAAACTTTTGGGTGTGGGGTGAAGAGAGGAGGCTGAGGGAGTCCAGGGTTGGAATGTGCTGGGCCTCAACGCCATGCTTAGAGACTCAACCCCACCAAGTCAGGCCCACCAGGGTAAGGTCCATCTGGTTCACAGGCCCTGCTATGTGCCACACTCTAGGTAAATTTTTTTTTTTTTTTTGAGACGGAGTCTTGCTGTGTTGCCCAAGCTGGAGTGCAATGGTGTGATCTTCGTTCACTGCAACCTTCACCTCCCAGGTTCAAGCAATTCTTCTGCCTCAGCCTCCCGAGTAGCTGGGACTACTGGCGCATGCCACCATGCCTGGCTAATTTTTGTACTTTTAGTAGAGACAGCATTTCACCATGTTGGCCAGGCTGGTCTCGAACTCCTGACCTCATGATCCACCGACCTTGGCCTCCCAAAGTGCTGGGATTACAGGCATGAGCCACCATGCCTGGCATGTAGGTAATTTAGTGTCTGGAAGAATGAAAGCAATGGGGAGCTATGGCAGAGCTTGAGGAAGGGGGAAATGGCAGGTACCCTTCATCTAAAAGGTAGTTTCATAATAAAAGCTAATATTTGTAAAGCATTTCCATGCACCAGGTGATGGGCTGAATACCTCACATGGGTTTCCCTTCTCAACAACCCTAAGAGGTTTACTGTTATCAACCTGGTTTCACAGAAGGGGAAATTGAAGCTTGGAGAACTCAAATCCCTCGCCCAGAGTCACCCAGCTCATAAGTGATAAAGCTGGGCTTCAGAGGCATTCAGATGCCAGAGACAAGCTCTTGATCCTTCCTTGCCCATTGAAGGCCCTGGCCTCTGTGTGGCATGAATGATGCCCATGAGACGTACTGGGGAAAGGAAAAGAAGGGGAGAAGCTGGGGAAACTGAGGAAGGCTGGCAGGAGCCCAGGTGTGATGGCGCCAGCAGCACATATCTCAAGCACCTGCTCCGAGCCAGGCTCGTGGGCACTTAGACACAGCCCATACCCTGCCCTCAAGGATCACACAGCTCACGATCACTCTAGTGCCCATGGGCATAAGACCTAGCACCAGGTAGGCACTAGACTAGACTGCCCTGAGACTGCACACACTGCACCATACACATCCCCACCCAAGGGTTCCCGGGAGGAGGAGCCAGGCCACTTACCGACTGTGTGCTCTTCAGCTTTGTACTTATGCTCCTTGGGGGCTTCCCAAGGTGGAATCTACAAGGGAGAGAAGAAGGCAGGGAACTGACTATAAGTCATAGCCTGCCACCGATCTGTTGCTAGTCTGCAGCTTCCTCTCACAGCCCAGAAATGCAGAGATTTCTTCCCAAGACCCAAACCCTTTCTACCTCCCCCCGTTGTCTTCTTAAGGCCCATCTCCCCCAGAAATGCAGGCTGTGCCCTTGTATCCACCCAGTCTGGTTGTCTGTCTCCTCTGCCTGGGCCTTCCGGGCTGGCCTCACCTTTCCACATAGGCCTCCTAGTCACCTGGACCCACAGGTCATGAGCAGAGGCCATGGCTCATGGCTGTGATAGCGACCCCCCAGAACAATCCTGGGACAATCCTGGTTCCCACAGCACTCACCGAAAGTGTTGACTCCAAGCTCACCAGCAGGAACCCCAGGAGCAGCAGAGCCCTCATGGCATCCGTCCGTTGGTCCAGCTGCCTATCCAGGAGTCCAGATCAATAGGACTGGCCAAAGGTCTTGGAAATAGAGATTGGTCAAGCTGCCCTCCTGAGCCTGGTGGGGCACAGGCTGTTTGTGGAAAGCCAAGTGGAGCAACTTCCTTGGTCACCCCTTGAGGGCCGGAAAGTTGGGAGTTTGTGGGTGGGGGTGAAATGAAGAGCTGGGCTCCTCCTCTCTTTTCTAGATAGTGGGACTGGAAGCAGAAGAAGGGACATTCTTATGCTCTGGGTCCTGTGGAGATCAGGAGGTTAAGGAGATCAAAGATCATGGGGATCTTGGAGTCCACTGTGAAGTGTGTTCATTTTCTATTGTCATGTAACAAACTACCATAAACTCAGCATCTTACAACAATACCCACTTTTAATTTTCTTTTTTTTTTTTTTTTTTTTGAGACGGAGTCTCGCTCTGTCGCCCAGGCTGGAGTGCAGTGGCGCAATCTCCGCTCACTGCAAGCTCCGCCTCCCGGGTTCACGCCATTCTCCTGCCTCAGCCTCCCGAGTAGCTGGGACTACAGGAGCCCACCACCACGCCCAGCTAATTTTTTGTCTTTTTAGTAGAGACGGGGTTTCACCATGTTAGCCAGGATGGTCTCGATCTCCTGACCTCGTGATCCACCCGCCTCGGCCTCCCAAAGTGCTGGGATTACAGGCCTGAGCCACTGCACCGGGCCATGTGTCGCCTTTTAAGAACTCACCTGACTAGGTCAGGCCCACCAAAGCCATTCTCCTTTTTTTTTTTTTTTTTGAGACAGAGTCTGGCTCTGTCACCCAGGCTGGAGTGCAGTGGCACGATCTTGGCTCACTGCAAGCTACGCCTCCCGGGTTCACGCCATTCTCCTGCCTCAGCCTCCTGGGTAGCTGGGAATACAGGCACCCGCCACCACGCCCAGCTAATTTTTTGTATTTTTAGTAGAGATGGGGTTTCACTGTGTTAGCCAGGATGGTCTCGATCTCCTGACCTCGTGATCTGCCCGCCTTGGCCTCCCAAAGTGCTGGGATTACAGGTATGAGCCACCATGCCTGGCCCTGCCATTCTCCTTATTTTAAGGTCAAACAATTTGGGACTTAAATTACATGTGCAAAATTCTTTCACAGAAGCATCTACATTCATGTTTGACAGAATAACTGGGAGGTGTGCAAACACCAGGGGTAGAGATCTTGGGGCCATCTTAGCATTCTACCAACCACAGGAAGTGAGGCAAGAAAGCAAATGATTTAATGAGAAAAGTGCTAAACCAAGGGGCACTAAGATGTGCAGCTGGAACATGAGAAGAAGACGGGGTGCACATGTGCTGCCCAGCATCTGTCCTGGTTCGGTAATGACACTTTGATTTTTCCTTTAGCAACGACTCCTCTCTTACTTCTTCCATGGGCTCTAGTGCTGCCAACTCTACCCTCAGAGCTAGGGCTAGAGATGTGGCCTAGGTCTGGTCAATCAGAGCATGACATCTCTAATCCACAGTGATTGGTTCAGAGATAAGCATATACACAATTTAGGCCAATTAAAGTGCTAGCTTGGGACTTTTGCCAGAACTTTTGGGAAAGCAAAAAAGTTGCACTGGGGTTACTAAGCACAGAGCATGTGGGTCTGAACACATTGATGATCACCTTTGTCACTCTCTAGGGAGGGCCTGTTTGAGAATGAAGCCTACACATAGGAAAAGCAAAGCAAACAGGGCAGGAAGGATGGAAAGATGCTGTGGTAGACAGCCTCAAAGACAGCCCCCATTGATCCTCACCACCTAGGATTCATGCCCTTGTATGGTGTCTTCCCACATTGAGTTAGGGCTGTTCTGTGTGTCCATCAGAATATGACAGAAGTGGCTGGGTGTGGTGGCTCACACCTGTAATCCCAGCACTTTGGGATGCCAAGGCAGGCAGATCACTCTAGGTCAGGAGTTCAAGACCGGCCTGGCCAACGTGTTGGCCAAACCCCATCTCTATGAAAAATACAAAAATTAGCCGGGCGTAGTGGCGTGTGCCTGTAATCCCAGCTACCCGTGAGGCTGAGGCAGGAGAATCGCTTGAACCCAGGAAGTGGAGGTTGTAGTGAGCAGAGATTGTGCCATTGCACTCCAGCCTGGGCGACAGGGACTGTCTCAAAAAAAAAAAAAATATGGCAGAAGTGAGGGTGTTGGACTTCCAAGCCCAGGTCATAAAAGACATTGCAGTTTCTGCCTCGGTCTCTTAGGTTGCTCACTCTGGAGGAAGCCAGCCACTGTGTTGTGAGGACACACATGCAGCCCTGCAGAGAAGCCCATGTAGGGAGAAAGGAAAGCACCCTGCTGACAGCCAGTGCCAATTGGACAGCCACATGAATAAGCTGCCTTGGAAGTGGATACTGCAGCCCTCGCTGACATTTGGCTTGCAATCTTATGAAAGACCTCAAGGCAAAACTGACCATCAGAAACTGTGATAAATCATCATTAAATGTTGTTGCTTTAAGCCACAAGTTAGGGTGATTTGTTACACGACATTTGAGAACTAGTACTGATGGATTGATTTCTCATGACTTTGAGAGCCTACATCCTAAAACTAGAAGTATCCTTAAGACTTGGTCAGTTATGGCTAGGCACAGTGGCTCACGCCTGTAATCCCAACACTCTGGGAGGCTGGGGATCACTTGAGGATCACTTGAGCCCAGGAGTTCCAGACTGATGTAGGCAACATAGTGAGATCCCATCTCTCCAAAAAAATTTAACATTAGCCAGGCATGGTGGCGCGTGCCTGTAGTTCCGGCTACTTGTGAGTCTGAGGCAGGAGGATTGCTTGAGCCCAGAGGTCCAAAATGCTGTGAGCCGTGATTGTGCCACTGCACTCCAGTCTGGGAAGCAGACTGAGACTGTATCTCCAAAAAAAAAAAAAAATAGACTTCTCAGTTATATGAGCCAATAAAACCAATTTGAGTGGACTTCTGTCACTTTCAGTTATACAAAGTCCTAAGTTATACAAAGTAATTTATGGGAAATGAAGACTGAGTGTAGCAATTTATTAATTCTGCTGGAAGAGAGGCAGGCTGTGGAAGACTTCTTGGAACAGAAACACAGAAAGAGGAGGGCAGGAGAGGAGGGGCACCTTTCCAACCACTGGTTTCAAAGGTAACTGGTTTCAAAGTCATTGACGTGACAGCTGTTAACTCCATGATGAAAGTGAAACTATTAGATATATTGACGAGTCATTAAAGCGAAACTACCTTTGTCACCTTTTTTGTTGTTTCAAAGAGACTCGGTCTTATTAAGTTGCCCAGGCTAGCCTGGAACTTCTGGGCGCAAGTGATCCTCTCGCTTCATCCTCCTGAATAGCTGGGATTACAGGTTCATGCCATCATGCCTGGCTCTGTCAGTTCTTGATTGCTCCTGAGTATAGACCCTGGCCCTAAGGCCACTCCCACATTGGCTCCTTCCTCTTGGGGAGAAGGCAGCTGTTCCTCTACATGGAAGGGGCCTTTTGAACAGGTCTTCGCCACAAGTAGGGGTTTGCAGGCAGAGTGAGTAATACAACTGCACAGAAGCCTGAATGCAGCGTGTCAAATGGGGAATGTGGTGAGCATAAGGTGCCTTGTAGGGAGTGTGAGATGAGGTGTCAGGTGGACATTAATGGTCATTTGGATGTTCAACATCCATCTCCCTTCCTCTTCCTCTCCCAGTTTCATTTTGTGATCACCCCTCCCCAGCTGTGGTGGTGAAAGGGTACTTTATTATTATTTTTATTTAGTTATTTATTTGAGATGGAGTCTCGCGCTGTCGCCCAAACTGGACTGCCATGGTGCGATCTCGGCTCACTACAACCTCCACCTCCCAGGTTCAAGTGATTCTCCTGCCTCAGCCTCCCAAGTAGCTGCCATTACAGGCCCACGCCACCATGCCCGGCTAATTTTTTGTCTCCTTAGTAGAGACCAGGGCTTCACCATGTTGGCCAGGTTGGTCTCGAACTCCTGACCTCATGATCTGCCCACCTCGGCCTCCCGAAGTGCTGGAATTACAGGCGTGAGCCACCACACCCGGCTGAAAGGGTACTTTCTAGAGACCATCTCCACTATGGAAGCCTAATGGACCAGACCAACCTCTCCCTACCATAGTATAGCCAGAGGGACCTAAACTCAGCCAATAGTGTTTTCTCCCAGGGCTCTGAATCCTGATCAAGCCACACAAGGATGGCAGGAAAAGCTGGAGGTCTGGCATTGCACCACCTGTGCCCTGACCAAATCATCCCGGCTACATGGCATTAAGTCAGGATGCCTTCCAAAAACCAAGCATATGCAGTAGGGCAATTCGAATTCATCATCCCATGTCACCAGATGTCTGGAGCAGCAGGACTCCAGGAACAGTGCTTTCAGTGGTTCAACAATGTCATCAAGAACCCAAGTTCTTTCTTTTTTTGTTTGTCTTCTGTGTGCAGACCTTCAGGCTGCCTGCCCTCATGGTCACAAGATGGCTGTCACAGCTCCAGGAATCACACTTCAACTCAATTATGTTCAAGCAAAGAAGAGGCACCTTCCCTTCCACTAGCTCCTTCTTAGGAATGAGGAACCCTCCCTCAAATCTCAAGCAGACCTCTCCTCATGCTTTCTTAGCTAGAACAGGCTCACATGACATCCCTAAGCCATGTTTGGCAAGGAAAAGGGGATCCCCATCACTGGCCTAAACCTATTAACCCTGGATCTGGGTCAGAGGCATGTGAGGTAAAGTGGCCACTGGAACAGAACTGGGACTCTGCAAACAGGGAAGAGCGGTGGCATGGATATTAGGTGGACAACTTCCGTGTCTGCTCAAGGGAAATCACTGTACTTCCTGCTTCCTAGTCTTCCAGTGGCTCTTAATTCCTGCACATTTCCAAGCCTATTCCTTCGAGCTGATGCCGTGAACTCCCGAAGACCTTCTCACAAAGTAAATTCCCTTTTGTTGAAGCAGCTAGAGTCATTTTCTGTTGCTTGCAACCAAGAGCTCTCTCTTCCTCATGCTCCCAGCCTACTTAGCCACCTAGTTCTGTTCATTCCACTATTTAAATATTTTTCTTTTTTTTCTTTTTTGAGGCAGGGTGTCAGTCTGTTGCTCAGGCTAGAGTGCAGTGACGTGATCATGGCTCACTGCAGCCTTAGCATCCCAGGCTCTAAGCAATCCTCCCACCTCAGCCTCCTAAGTAGCTGGGATACAGACGTGCAGCACCACACCCAGCTAATTTTTTAATTTTTTGTAGAGGTGAGGTGTCACTGTGTTCCCCAGGTTGGTCTCAAACTCCTGGGCTCAAGCTATCTCCTCAACCTCAGCTTCCCAAAGTGCTGAGATTACAGGTATGAGCCACCGCACCAGGCTACATAAATATTTCTCAAATCTCTCCATCTCTCTCAATTTCTACTGCCCCTTCTTTGACTTCCAGAAAATTCAAGGTAGCTACAGCTGTGAAACATAATTTGAGAGCCTGTGATGGATGTCTATCATTTCCTGTTTACCATTCATTCTCCCTGCTTCTAGAAATGGCCCTCATTGTTTCTTTGGGGAATCGCTCCTCCCCACCCTGCGTCAATATACATAAAATAAAGCCTACCCTATCCCTTGGCTGAGGGTGGAGTGGGCATTTGATCTAGACCTGGCCAATCGGAACACCACCTCTGTCTTCAGCGATTGGTTCAAATGAACACCTGAATTAGGTGGGCGTGGTGGTGCACGCCTGTGGTCCCAGCTACCTAGGAGGCTGAGGTGGGATGATGGCTTGAGCCTAGAAGGCAGAGGTTGCAGTGAGCCAAGATCGCACCACTGCACTCTAGCCTGGACGACAGAGCCAGACTCTATCTCAAAAGAAAAAAAAAAAGAACACCTAACCCACATCGAACC
The DNA here is from genome assembly GCF_000001405.40 of Homo sapiens. NCBI lineage: Eukaryota > Metazoa > Chordata > Mammalia > Primates > Hominidae > Homo > Homo sapiens. The sequence continues at coordinate 177,415,404 of NC_000005.10, forward strand.
AGTGAGAGGCAGCCCCAGGATTTTTGCTGGAATTATAAAGCTAGAGGCCTTCTCTTTCCATGGAGGTTGTCACATTCCTAACAAATGAGCCTGGAGCTGCTGGCAGCCATCTTTAACATCTCAGAGGGAGAACCTACCTGAGAATAAAGATAATAAAGATTAAAAGCAGAGCCAGGGTATGGGCGCTGGGTGCAGTGGCTCACGCCTGTATTCCCAGCACTTTGGGAGGCTGAGGTGGATGGATCATCTGAGGTCAGGAGTTCGAAACCAGCCTGGCCAACATGGTGAAACTCTGCCTGTACTAAAAATACAAAAAAATTAGCCGGGTGTAGTGGCGCGCCTGTAACCCCAGCTACCTGGGAGGCTGAGGCAGGAGAATTGTTTGAACCTGGGAGGCAGAGGCTGCAGTGAGCTGAGATTGCATCACTGCACTCCAGACTGGCAAAAGAGTAAGACTCCGTCTCAAAAAAAAAAAAAAAAAAAGAGTGGAGCCAGGGTATGAAAAAGACAGATTTTAGGCCGGGCATCGTGGCTCACGTCTGTAATCCCAGCACTTTGGGAGGCCAAGGCGGGTGGATCACGAGGTCAAGAGATCGAGACCATCCTGGCCAACATGGTGAAACCCCGTCTCTACTAAAAAAAAAAAAAAAAAAAAAAATTAGCCTGGAGTGGTGGCACGCAACTGTAATCCCAGCTACTCAGGACGCTGAGGCAGGAGAATTGCTTGAACCAGGGAGGCAGAGGTTGCAGTGAGCCGAGATTGCGCCACTCCACTCCGGCCTGGTGACAGAGTGAGACTCCATCTCAAAAAAAAAAAAAGAAA